>NC_000006.12:5817575-5969090 GCF_000001405.40 Homo sapiens
GGAGACAACTTCATCCTCAGTGTAGCTCAGGATGCCCTTGAGGGGGCCCTCCAATACCTGCTTCACCATCTTCTCATACCATCACATTTCGCAGCTTTCTGCAGAAGGCAGACGAGAGCCATGACCAACATGGCTCTTATGGGTGGGAACACAGAAGGCCATACCTGTAAGCCTCTCATCTGGCTCAGGGATGACCTTGCCCATAGCCTTGGCCACACCAGTAGATGCAGGGATGATGTTCTGCAGCAGTTACGCCAGAGTTTCTCCAACAGTCTTCTGGTGGCAGTAGTGGCATGGACTGTAGTCATAGATGACCTTGGCCAAGGGTGCCAAACGTTGATGGTGCAGGAGGCATTGCTGACAATCTCAAGAAGAGAAATCATACTTCTCATGGTCCACACCCATCACACCATGGAATCTGCACAACAGCACAAGGGGCATGGATGACGACAGTTTTGGCTACTTCAGGTGAGCCCCAGTCTTCTCCATGGTGCTGAAGATGCCAGTGGGCTCTGCACCATATTCAGCACCAGAGTTGCCTCATGTGATGTTGGCGAGATCTTGCTCCTGGAGGATGGAGATGGGCTTCCCATTGATTACAAGCTTCCTGTTCTCTTTCCTTGACTGTGCCATTGGACTTGCCATGAAATATACTGGAACATGTAGACCATGAAGTTGAGGCCAATGAAGAGATCATTGATGATGACAATATCCATTTTGCCAGAGTTAAAATCTGCCCTGGTGACCAGGTATCAAATATGGCCAAATCCATTGACTCAAACTTTCACCATTGTATCCTGGATGAAGCTGACACTGCATGAGCAGATGGGGCTGTTTGTCGAATGGGGAGGAGAGGAGAGCCATAGCTTTTTTCTTTTAAAAACAGACTTCCTTTTCTGAGCAGTTCTAGGTTCACAGAAAAATTGAGCAGAGTACATAGATATCCCAGGTACTTTCGCCCCTACACACACACAGCTTCCCTCATTATCAACATCCCCCACCAGATTGGCATGTTTGTTTCAATTAATGAACCAACATTGACACATCTCTATCACCCAGAGTCCATAGTTTAACTTAGGGTTCACTCTCTGTGTTGGGCATTTTATGGGTTTTGACAAATGCATTATGACATGTATCCATCATTATAATATCAGAGTAGTGTCACTGCCCTACAAATCCTCTGTACCCTACCAATTCATCCCTTCCTCCCACTCCCCCCTTGGCAACCACTGATCTTGTTACCCTCTTCATAGTTTCACCTTTTCCAGAATGTCATACAGTTGGAATCATACAGTATGCAGCCTTTTCAGATTGGCTTCTTTCACTCAGTAATATGCATTTAAGGTTCCCCCATGCCTTTTCACGGCTTTGCAGCTCAATTCTCTTTGGTGCTAAGTAATATGCCATTGTCTGGATGTACCCCAGTTTATCCCCTCACCTACTGAAGGATATCTTGATTGTTTCCAAGTTTTAGCAAATATGAATAAAGTGGCTCTAAACATCCGCGTGCAGGTTTTTGTGTGGAAAAGGTTTTAACTCGTTTCATAAATAAGGGGTGTGGCTGCTGGAAGTTACGCAACTTTTACTTTACCTTGATGGCTGTCAACCTGGGCTGCCCATTGTAACCACCTGGTGAGCATTTAACAAATAAATCCCTGTGCCCACCCCCACCCAGGCCACTTAAACCAGACTCAACGAGGGTGGGGCTTGAACAAAGTGTTAACCAACCCATTGGGAGGTCCTGAAGTGCAGCCGGTGTTGAGAATCACCAATTCAGAGGCTGACACCAGATTCCTGAGTTTCTGCAGATTTCTCCTCAGCTTCTCTACCAAGGGACATTTAGACTTTGAGAGCAGTAAGAAAATGGTTAAATAAACAAGTATTTGTTATGTTTTATAAAACATTTCTTTTTAAAAATTTATATATATGTGTGTGTATATGTGTATATATATATGTGTGTATATATGTATATATATGTGTGTGTGTGTGTATATATATAGAGAGAGAGAGAGAGAAAGAGAGAGAGAGAGAGAGAGAGAGACTCACTCTGTTACCCAAGTTGGAGTGCAGTGGTGTGATCATGGCTCACTGCAGCCCTGAACCCAAGGGCCCAAGTGATCAAGTAATTCTCCTGACTCAGCCTCTCAAGTAGCTGGAACTACAGGCACATGCCATCACGCACAGCTAATTTTTCTTTTTTTTTTCTGAGATGGAGTCTTGCTTTGTCGCCCAGGCTGGAGTGCAGTGGTGCAATCTCAGCTGACTGCAACCCCCACCTCCCAGGTTCAAGCGATTCTCCTGGCTCAGCCTCCTGAGTAGCTAGGATTACAGGCTTGTGCCACCCTGCCCAGTTAATTTTATTTTATTTTTTGTATTTTTAGTAGATATGGAGTTTCACCATGCTGGCCAGGCTGGTCTTGAACTCCTGACCTTGTGATCCTCCCGCCTCAGCCTCCCAAAGTGCTGGGATTACAGACGCCCAGCTAATTTTTTTAACTTTTCTTGTAGAAATGGGGTCTCCCTATGTTGCCTAGGCTGGTCTCAAACTCCTGGGCTCAAGTGATCCTCCTGCCTCGGCCTCCCAGAGTGCTGAGATTTCAGGCGTGAGCCACTGCACCTGGCCTATGAAACATTTCTATTTTCGTTTCTAGAAAAATCGATTTCATTTTTCTAGAAAGTTCTATATGAAGTTAACATCTGCCCTTTTTCACTCCCTTTGACTGACAACAGGCCCCAGAAGGTCTCCTTTTAATGCATTTCAGCATCCCTGGGCCCAGCCAGGCCACCTTGGGCATTCCAATCAATTCCAACTTCTCCCAGCTCCCAGGGGCAATAGTTCTTGCTGTTAGGAACATGGACTTGATCCAACTCCCTTCCCTCTGCACCAGCTTGACCTGGCCAGTTCCTTGTGGCTAACAGAGTGGACATCTGTCACTCTCTGCCTGGGGCAGGGTGAAGACCAGGAGATGTCTGAGGTGGAGGGGTCCTTGGTGGGGGGTGGGGGTGGAGTTCAGGCCAGTCATCTATGTGTTTATGTTGAAGCAGTGGTTATTTATTTTTTTGAGGCCAAGTCTCGCCCTGTGGCCCAGGCTGGAGTGCAATGGCGCAATCTCAGCTCACTGCAACCTCCGCCTCCCGGGTTCAAGTAATTCTCCTGCCTCAGCCTCCTGAGTAGCTGGGATTACAGGCGCCTGCCACCACTCCCGGCTAATATTTTGTATCTTTAGTAGAGACAGGGTTTCACCATGTTGGCCAGGCTGGTCTCGAACTCCTGACCTTGTGATCCACCCATCTTGGCCTCCCAAAGTGCTGGCATTACAGGCATGAGCCCAGCCCCAGAATGTCTTTTTGATACACATCGAACAGATATAAACTGAGTAGCTCTCCTTGGATAGTGGGCTGGAGGGTCAGGCCCCCCATGCGACATCCCCTGCTTGATGACCTGGTGGCTCAGGCACTTCTGAGAAACTTGTAGAGTCCAAAAGGTGACATGTTGAGCCTTATTTTCCACAGATGACATGGGGGTAAGGGTGGGCAGCAATCCGAGAAGAAACGCCCCCATTTCACAGGATTTGTTGGGGCCGGCCTTTCCGTCTTTAGATGCGTCTTGTGTGCGAGGCACTGTAGCTGCTCTCCAAATGGTGCCAAGTGCCTCCCTACTCTCCTCCACCTTGTTCCTCCCACCTGTGTTCTGTCCTTGCCCTCCCTGCTCTCTCCTACCCCTCCCCTCCTTTCACCTTCCCTCCTCCCCATCCCCAGGCTGGATCTGAAGGACAGATGTCTTCCCCTGAGAGGCAGTTGCTCTCAGAGGAGGAGCTAGCCTACCAATGCATCAGATGCCCCAGTGTTGGGGGAAATCATCTTCCTTGGAAGTCAGGCCCTAAGCATTTGGGCTCTCCCAGGCTTCCCTCTGCCCAGGTGGAGCTTGGAGTCGCTGAATTCAGATCCAAGTGAAAAGCAAGTCCCAGGGCAGCCGAGCAGGCAACTTCTAAGCAAGCAAGTGTGGGGCTCTGAGTGGGAGAGAGGAGAGAGTCTGAGAGTGAAAAAGGAGTCTGTTGCTCTTCCATTTCTTCCTCCCCTCCTTCTACTTTCTCTCTTGCTTTCTCTGCCTTTTGTTGCTTTGACTCTCTAGAAAGTCTCCCTGGAACTGGAAAGTGGCGTCATTGAAACATTCCAGAAATGAGCTGAAGTCACTCAAGGAAGGCCTTGGGAACTAAGGTTTGGCCCGATGGGCAGTGCACTGTAGACATTCACATGCGCTCCAGCACTGAACACTATGCGACCTGGCAGGTAAGTACTCAATCTTTATGACGTTGGTAATGAAGCGAGATAACACCTCCAGTGCACGCTTCCTTTCTCTGCCCCTGGAACATCCCTGAAGCACGTGTGAGGCGTAATCTTTGAAGTGGTAATTATGAAATGTTTGGCACTGAGCTCTCTGCTCTGACCCAGGAAGAGGCGTTAGAGGAATTCTGTGGAAGGTTTGCAGAGGTCATTGACCCAGGATGCTGCTGGAACCCCAGCAGGAGGGGAGGTCCCAGGAATAGCACATCGCTTGTCCTGCACAAAGGGAACCACTGGGAGCCCAGACTGGAAAACACCATGCGCTTCTTACTCCTGCTGCAAAGGAAGAGGAGAGACCTGGAGAAGGCTGCAACAAGAGCAGTTGAGATGACCACGATTAAGAAGACGTGGCTGCAGAGGTCAGACTCCAAAAGGACTCTCAAAGGTCAGTGGCTGGGGGTTGTTAGGGCTTATTCATGAGGAGGCCTACCACAAAGAGCTTTAAAATAGGCAGCAACTCCAAAAAGTCAACAATGAAAACACAAACGTCCCAATGAAAAAACAGAGAGAGGACTTCAGCAGACATTCTCCAAAGGAGACAGATAGCCATTAAGCACATGAAAAGGGACTTAACCTCGATAATCATTAAGAAAATGCAAATCAAAACTACAATGAGATACCACCTCACACCCATTAGAATGGCCATAGCTAAAAAATAAACAGAAAATAACAGGTATTGAAGACATGGAGGAACTGGAACCCTCATGCACAGTCAGTGGGAATGTAAGACGGTGCAACCACTGTGGAAAACAGTATTGAGGTTTCGAAAAAAATAAACATAGAATTATCATATGATCCAGCAATCCCACCTCTGGGTATACAACCAAAGAATTGAAAGCAGGGGCTCAAACAGATATTGGTACACCTATGTGCCTGGCAGCATTACTCACAATAGCCTAAAGATGGAAGCAACCCATATGTCCATTGAAGGATGAATGAATAAACAAAATGTGGTCTATCCAGACAATGGAGTATGATTCAGCCTTAAAGAGGAAGGGAATTCTGCCACATGCTGCCACACGGATGACCCTTGAGAACACTATGCTCAGTGAAATCAGCCAGGCACAAAAAGACAAATTGTCCGTGATTCCACTCACATGAAGCACCTACAATTGTGAAATTCATAGACAGCAAGTGACATGATGGTTACCAGCGACTAGAGGGAGGGAGGGATGGGGCGTTAGTGTTAATGGGTTCGGGGTTTCAGTTTGGGACAGTGAAAAAGTCCTGCAGCTGAGTGGTGGTGATGGCTGCACGACAACATGAACGTGCTTAATACCATGGAACTATGTCCTTAAAAATGGCTAAGATGGTAAATTTTATATTATGTATATTTTATGGCATGATAATATTAAAAAGATGGGCAGGGAAGGAAGTAGTGATGAGTGTGGGCAGGGGTTTGAATTTGTGTCCCAGAAACCAGAACAGGACAGGAGGCCGGGAGAGATAACCTACAGGAGAGGCTCCCATTCACGGGCCCTGCAGAGGGTCCTCCCCTGAGGGCTGTGCGTAGGTACCCAGGGGCCCAGGTTGTATGAACCCCCTGCAGGCAGGGCCTGGCAGAATCAAAGCAGCAGAGGATTCCAGCAAATGTCCCCAGGGGCAGGAGGATGAGGCTGTGCTGAGGTACCTGGCCTCATTGGTCAAGGGGTCTAGAGAAGAATGTCAGACAGCACTAGTGCCCTTGGGGCTTCTGGAGTGAGCACTGAATCTCAGATCAGCTTCCTCCTCAGTCTGCATAGAAGGCTGGAAGTGCTGTCAAACAGGGTCCTGAACTCTTGGGGGCAGGTTGGGGAGTCTGCCAGTCTCTATTGGCAGGTTGGCCAATAGGGACGCTATTCCCTGTTGGCCACCACTGCCATGACGGGAGGACCTGGGTGGGAGGTTTCTGGAGCTCAGTGACAACCACCAAGCCAGCATGTGTGACTAGGGCTGGGTTTGAAGGAGGAGCTCAAGGCAGTAAGAGAAATGCAGCCTCAGTGGTTGAGGTCCCTCCACATTCATGCCTTTAACCAGCTCGACCCTCTCCAGCCCCTTAGCAGAGACAATGAAGCATCCCTGCTTCCCTGCCCATTGGCTGGACCTTCTGTGCTCAATCCGACCTCACTTTCTGCTTCCAGTTCCTCGTTTCAAGTGGAAATCTCACAGTTTCTAACCCTCTTGGCAGGGCTTCTGTCTTTTGCTCTGAACTCTTCCTGAGACTTCATGTCAGGATTCAATCTCTCTAGTTTTAACCCCTCTGGTTCTTCCCATCCTTGAACCCACCTCGCCTGGCTCTAGCCCATGGGTCTTCTATATGCATCTGCCTAGACCCTGTCCCCTGTGAGAGAAACTGACCATGGGATGATGGGTGTTCAGGGCTGCCTTCAGGATGTGGCTTCAAAAGGCAACTGCCCCTGAGTCCCTGTGGTGCTGAGGAAGGTAAGGAATGGGGACAAGGAGGACAATGACCATGCCCCAGAGCAGGCTTCTGAGGAGGTGTCAGGGAGGACTCTCCCCCTGTTTTCACAGGCCCCAAAGTTTGCTGGACGGGCCTGGTGGTGAGCAACAGCGTGGTGTGTTTGTGTTCTTGTGGGAGGTGGCAGGAAACAAGCCCAGAGTCAGGGGAGAATTTCCCCGGGTCACCCACAGGCTAGCACTCAAGACCCAGCAGCAGCACTGGGCTTCAAGCCACCAGCCATCCTCTCCAGATGCTGCTCCCTCAACAGGAGAGCAGAAGGCTCCATTCCACCCCACCATCAGTGCCTCTTCTCAGAGTGAAGCTCACTAACTTCTCAGAGTGAGGCTCACTAATGTTCACTAACTGAGCCTTGAAGCACACTTAGGGGAGGCAAGAAGGAGGAGCGCCAGGCCCTGAGTCCTGGGGAGAAGTGACGCTGAGCACCGTTTCTGTACTAAATGCACATGAATCAACTTGCCACTTCCTCTAGCTCAGGACTTGTCCCTGTCACCTTTTTTTTTTTGAGATGGAGTTTCACTCTTTTTGCCCAGGCTGGAGTGCAATGGCGTGACCTTGGCTCACTGCAACCTCTGCCTCCCGGGTTCAAGTGATTCTCCTGCTTCAGCCTCCTGAGTAGCTGGGATTACAGCCCCCACCACCATGCCTGGGTAATTTTTGTATTTTTAGTACAGATGGGGTTTCACCATGTTGTCCAGGCTGACCTCGAACTCCTGACCTTAGGTGATCCACCCACCTCGGCCTCCCAAAGTGCTGGGATTACAGGGGTTTGCCACTGTGCCCGGCCATCCCTGTCACCTTTAAACAGCATTGTCCACAGCTTAATGTCTGCAGGGCCAGAGCATGGCCTCTCTCCATGTTCCTGTGAAGAGCCTTCATTGGAATCATCCTGGGCCATAGAGCTTTAACGTGCTGTCCAGCTAGCCCCTCCACTAGGGCAGCAAGGAGAAAGAAGCTTATTTATTTATTTATTTATTATTTATTTATTTTAAGTTAAAGCAACAGCAACTCAACTAAATGGCAAGGAAACAAATCCAGACAGTCCCCCACTTATGATGTTTCCATTTACAATTTTTCAGCTTTACGATGATATGAAAGTGACATGCATTCAGTAGAAACCATACTTCTATACCCATACAACCATTATGTTTTTCACTTTCAGTACAGTATTCAATAAATTACATGAGCTATTCAACACATTATTATAAAATAGGCTTTGTGTTAGATGATTTTGCCCAATTATAGACTAATGAAAGTTCTGAGCACACTTAAGGTAGGCCAGGCTAAGCTATGATGTTGGGTAAATTAGGGGCATTAAATACACTTTTTAATTTTAATATTTATTTATTTAGAGACAGGATCTCACTCTGTCACCCCGGCTGGAGTGCAGTGGCTCCATCTTGGCTCACTGCAACCTCCACCTCCCGGGCTCAAGTAATCCTCCCACCTCAGCCTCCTGAGTAGCTGGGACCACAGACACGCTCCACTATGCCCAGCTAATTTTTGTATTTTTAGTAGAGATGGGATTTCGCTATGTTGCCTAGGCTGGTCTTGAACTCCTGAGCTCAAGTGATCTGCCTGCCTCAGCCTCCCAAAGTGCTGGGATTACAGGCATGAGCCACCATGCCTGGCCTAAAAATGCTTTTGACTTACAGTGTTACCTACCAACAGTGAGTTTATTGGGACATAGCCCCATCGTAAGTCAAGGAACATCTGTAAATCAATTAAAAAATGGACACAGGACCTGAACAGACATTTCTCAAGAGAAGACATACAAATGGCCAATAGGTGTATGAGAAAATATTCATCATTAATCATCATGGAAATGAAAATTAAAACCATAATAAGATAGCACCTCACACCTGCTAGGATGGCTAAGGATGTGGAGAAAAGCAAACCCTTGCACATTTGGCGGGGATGTAAGTTAGTGCAGCCATTATGGAAAATAATGTGGAGGTTCTTCAAAAAATTAAAAATAGAACTCCCGTATGATCCAGCAATCCCACTACTGGGGATATGTCCAAAGGAAATGAAATCAGTATGTTGAAGAGATATCTGCACTCCCATGTTCATTGAAGCATTCTTCACAGAAGCCAAGACAGGGAGTATCCATCAATGGATGAATGGAAAAAGAAAATATGATGTATATACACAATGCAATACTATTCAGCCTCTAAAAAGAAGGAAATCCTGTTCTTTGCAACATGGGTGGACCTAGAGGACATTAGGTAAGTGAAATAAGCCAGGCACTGAAAGCCAAATACGGCATGATCCCGGTTACACGGGGAATCTAAAAAAAGTCAAACTCATAGAAACAAAGAATAGGATGGTGGTTACCAGGGGTTGGGGGTTGGGGGGCTTGGGGAGATGTTGATGAAAAGATTAAAATTGTCATTTAGACAGGAGGAAGAATTTCAAGACATCTATTGTACAACATGGTGACTACAATTAATATATTGTATACTAGAAAATTGCTAAGAGTAGATTTTAAGTATTCTCATCACAAAAAATGTATGTGAGGTAATGCACGGTTAATTAGCTTGGATCAGCCATTCTACATGTCAAAATATCAAAACTTGCTGTACACACAAATGCATACAATTTTGTCAATTAAAAAAAGTTACGGATTTTATCTAGACAAAAACAAGAGATATAAGAGAACAAACCAACACCAGCAGCCACTGTGACCATTTGAGCCCACCCGTGGGGGGACTGGTACTTTACACGTGTTGTATCTTTTCTGGCTCTCTCTCTCCAACCCTGCAGGGCAGGTGGCATCTCTACTTAACCATGAGGGAACAGAGGCTCAGCCAGCATGTTGAGACACCAGAATTCAAAAGCCCAGTATCCTCCCAGGACTCCATTAAAGCAGATGTGCAGAAGGCAGTACGGCCGGAGCACAACCAATGCCCCTGGGGGAGGCCCACGGGACCGTTAGGAAAATAAGACAGGCACAGGAAAGAGATGTCCAGCGTCTGAAGACAAAGCCACAATGAAAGCCACCATTCTGGGGTTGGGAAGGTAAAGAACTTCAAACCAGATAAATGAAGACTGCAGAAGAAAGAGGAAGAAATGGAAGTTGCTCTCTGACAGGACAACATGAATTTGGCAAGGGGTGGATTAGGCCGAGTGCTATCCACGGTGATGAAACACAGCAGCCGGTAGTCATGAAATATTTATGAATGGGGAGAGGATGCTGCATTCTGCAGTGCAGCACAGGGGAAACCGAAGTTTCAAGAATACTGTAATAGCAAAACCCTCCATTAATTATCGGAAGCAAGCTGTAATGCCAGTTCCTATGGCAACAGGGTCCCCAATGGATTTTGTGCTTTTTTTTTTTTAAGCTGCTCCCATTTACTATGGTACATTGCATTTATTTTCTATCGGAGGTTTTGTGCTTGTCTTCTGCAAATGAATTCATCCTGTCCTCACAGTGGCTGGTGTGGAGACCGACAGGCTGGGGCCTGGGGAAGGTTAAAGATTATGCAACTTTGAGCTAAATGCTCTGTAAGCACATTGATGACTGCTATGAGCACCTTCACTTCTGAGGGGAAAAGGAGGGGAGGGCAGGAAAGAGGTGTGGAAGGGAATAACTAGGGTGCATGGCTAATTAGAGGGCATCTATCCCAGCCCCCACACGCATGGTCTTTGGAATCCAGGCTTGCACCAGGGAAGAGTCCTTGAACCCAGCTGGGCTCTCCAACAACGTGCCTGCTGCAGCTGCAGTGGAAGCTGATAATTGCTCAGAAAGCTCAGACACAGAGTCCTCTGGGGTAAGGGTGCTGGAGAGAACAGTGGCTTGGTTCCCAGAGGAGCAGGCTGCCCCTCCCAGAGAAGCACTCCACCTGTAGGCCCAATCTCTCTGCACCGCCCCCCCCCCCCACATTGCTTATCAGCTCCCCCTCAGTGTGAAGTGGGAGTTTAATCTGGTGGCCCTTTGAATGCGGGTCTTCCAGGGGAGATGTTCTGTGTTTGCCTGGCCATGGGCTGCTGTTCACAGAAACATTCTGTCCCAGGCCACAGGAGCGCCTCAGAGCCACCCTGGGGTGTGGGCGAAGCGGTCAACAGCGGCTTCCTCCATCCTTCCCCGGATGAATGACTGACAAGTTGATGGCGGAGCACCCCGCCGCTCACTCAGGAAGAGGCTGCCTCCAGGTGGGGAGCTTGTACGTTTCCCTCTCAGGGCTGCAGCTGTGGCTTGGGAGGTGTCCTGTCTTTTTGGTGGCCTCATGAGGGCTGTGTGAGTCCTGATAAATGGCATAGGATGGGGAGTCCCCTTAATGGGGGACAGTACAGGTCTCCTGTCCGTGGGGCTATTCCAGGTTAAAAATAGATTCTACCGCTGCAGAATGATTATGCTGGCTCTACTGTGCTTTCTAAGTCACCAAAGGGACTCACAAGCATGTGTGAGTAGAACTGGGAGGATGCCAGAAGAGGGATGAAATAAAAATTGTGTACGTATATGTTTCTTTTTGTGGAATTCTACCTGGAGCCATAGGAGTACGACTTACCACTCAAGAGAAAGGCTGTGCCCAGAGCCAAGGAGGAGCTGTGGAGACGTTTCTCCCAAGTCATCCGTTCTCCCTATTTAGACTTCAACCTTAGGACGGACCTTCAGGCATCCAGGCCACCTACTGACCTCTCTGGCATGGGTGGGAACCGGGAGCTCGTTGGTAAGCAGGAGGATTCAGGACTATCGAGCGAACACCACTTCCTCCGTGGCACGCACCGCGCTGTGTCTTTGGGCTCATCATCTCATCACCTCTGCACAGGAAGATTATCTCCCCCACTTCGTGATGAGGAAACGGAGGCTCCAGGAGGCAAGTCATTGCCCAGGCCACACTGCTCCTCAGAGGCAGAGCTGAGATCAGAACTCACTTCTGTCTGACCCCAAAGCCTGTGCCAAACGCCTTGCTCGCTGGCCTCTTGCAGGGAAGGGCAGTGTCCCATTGCAGCCAGGCCCCAGCACAATACCAGGCTCTGCAGGCCCTGCATCACTTTCCCAAGGCCCAAAGGGGGCACACCACAAAATGCTGGGGGTGTAGGAAGAAGATATCAGAAATTCTAGTTATGATTTCCTCTTATCCTAGTAAAATACCAACTTCTATGTCTGTGTTGTGATGCATTTATGAGCTCAGCAGCACATTTATAGAATTTATAAATCAATAAACCTTCACATTGTGGAATACATGCTCAAGTTTATTTTACTGATATTGGAAGTGAGCAAAAAGACTAGAGTATCATGTTCAAGATAGTGACCAGGGACCACCCCAGGGCTCCTCGGGGACCAGAAAGGATGGCTTGCCGAGGGTGGCCTCCATCTTCCCTGCAGCATTGTTTGTTCCCCGGGATCCTTCCAGGCCCGCTCAACTCTGATCTCAGTCCCCTGTGCATTTCTGTAGGAAGCTCGCTTTTACTAGACCTGAGAGTTCAGGCAAGCCCTGTACCCTCGGGAGGCCGGCTGTGTGCTCTGCTGTTGTTTGCTCTCTATGGGGGCTCTCCAGTGGTCCAGCGGGCATTACAGGAGCACAGGGAGGACGAGGGGAATGGAGAAGGGGGATTGAAGGGCACATACACTTAGACCCCCACCGGCCACCTACAGAAGGCCTGAGGGGACAGCCCTTTCTGAAGTGATGCCTTCCTCTGTTGGGAAGCCAGGAGCCTCCCCTGGTGGGACCCATGAGGCCCTGGGGGTGGGGCAGGGTATGTGGGACGGGCACAGAGCCCCTTCAGTTTCCTTCTCAGGCCAGAATCATAACTGTCCATGCATTCCTTAAAAGCAGAGAGGGACCCTCTTCTTCCCCATCCATCAACAGCCTTCAGAGTCTAATTACATGCATAGAGCTTCAGTTCCCTTCTCTGTAAAATGGGGCTAATACTAATAAGACCTCTTCAGGGCAGTGTGGGAAGTCAATGAAACTCCATCTCTAAAATCACCCAGCAGATCATAGGATCTTGAAGTAAGCACAGTGTTTGGCATACAATAGGCACTCATCAATGCTGGTTCCTTTCACTCTCTGCCACTTGCTGCCTGTGCATGAGTTAACGTCCCAATGCCTCAGTTTCTTCATTTTCAAATGAAAGATGATGCCTATCCTCAACTTCAGATGAGATCAGGCACGTTCAGGGTGGTATGGCCATAGACCCCAACTTCAAAACAACAGGCACATCCATTCAATTCAGGTAGCACCCACCAACTGTACCATGGGCTTAAGAGGCAGGAAGAACATGGTGTGAGCCCACAGCTTCGGGTCCTGTTGCTCACTCTCTGCACATCCTTGTGCAGTTATCTGGGGTCACTTGCTGGCCTTTTTGAGTCTCAGTTTTCTTATTTGTAAGCTGGGGATAGTCATATCTCATTAGATTTTTAGGAGGACTAAATGGGACAATAAATATAAAATGCTCAGCACAAAACTTAGTCTATGGTCAGTGCTCAACAAATATCAGTCACTGATAATAGTAGAACCACCTGGAAATGACACTGTCATTTCCAGGCCCTCATGAGGATTCTCATTTACTCGTCATACTAGCCCTGCAAAATGGACACTATTGCTTCCGTTATACAGATGAGGAAACTGAGGCTCAGAGAAGCTAAGTAACTTCTTCAAAGTTGCCCAGGCTGGGCGCGGTGCCTCATGCCTGTAATCCCAGCACTTTGGGAGGCCAAGGCAGGCAGATTACTTGAGGGGAGGAGTTTGAGAACAGCCTGGCCAACATGACAAAACCCCCTCTCTACCAAAAATATAAAAATTAGCCAGGCGTGGTGGCACGTGCCTATAGTCCCAGCTACTCAGGAGGCTGAGGCAGGAGAATTGCTTGAACCAGGGAGGAAGGGGTTGAGCATGCCACTGCACTTCAGCCTGGGCAATAGAGCAAGACTCTGTCTCAAAAAAAAATAAAAAAATAAAAAAGTTGCCCAGTGACAGAGCCAAGTCTTGCTTTACAAGCCTAGGCTCGCTCTCCTACACTAACTACCTGGCCCCATGCTGCCCAGTCCTGGGCTGGCTGCAGGAGGCTGCTGCATTACCCACCTCAAACCACACAAGCACTGGCAGTAACAAGAGGCCGTAGAGAACCTAGAGTTCTCCAGTGGGTGTGGTTCTCTGGCTGCCGTGGGCTGCCAGGGATCCCTTAGATCACAGACTCCACAGTTCTTTCTTGCCACCTCCAGAAGTGAGGCTGCAGCCCCATGAGCCAGGCAGCAGGAAGGGAGGAAGTCTCGCTTCTTGCCAGACACATTGTTTAACTGCAACAGTCAGTTCTCCAAAAACTCTGCCGGAAGTCCACCCCGGAAACTCAAGGGAGGAAACTGACTGCCTTCTTGGGGTTTTCTTAACTGTGCTTCGTTTTTCTGCTCTGCAGGAAAGATGCAACCTGGGCCAGAGGCCCCTGGAGGCTGTGCCTGACCCCAGACAGATCAGACAAACCCGAGCAGCCATTAGCAGCTGCATGGACTCCTTTGCACTGTGGGGCTGCTCCTGGGGTGCAAGATGTCTTTGTGTGTGTATGGGGTTCGGGGGCTGGGCTGGCTGACTTGCAAAGGACACGCTGTGGCCCAGCCCTGGGCAGCATCCAGCCTGCTTAGGTGGCCTTCTGGGGGCTTGGCTAAAGACACTGAGGCCTTTCTCTGTTTCACCTCCTTGTGCCAACTTGGCTGTGTGTGAATAAAGGAATCACAAGCACACGCCTCTCTGAGTTCACACTTGTGTAAAGTTGGACTGAAGAGCTTGGTGAATCAAAGTTCAAGAAGGGTGACTTTGCCGGACATGGTGGCTCACTCCTGTAATCCCAACATTTTGGGAGGCTGACGGGGAGCAGATCACTTGAACCCAGGAGTTCAAGACCAGCTTGGACAACACAGAAAGACCCTGTCTCTACAAAAAAATTTAAAAATTAGCTAGGTGTGGTGAGGTGTGCCTGTATTTGCAGCTACTCTGGAGGCTGAGGTGGGAGGATTGCTTGAGACTGGGAGGTTGAGGCTGCAGTGAGCTGTGATCATGCCATTGCACTCCAGCTTGAGTGACAGAGCAGGACCCCATCTCTTAAATTTAAAAAAAGGAAGAGAAAGGAGAAGGAGGAGGAGCAGGAGAAGGAGAAGGAGGAGGAGGAGGAGGAGAAGGAGAAGGAGAGGAAGAAGAGGAAGAGGAAGAAGAAGAGGAAGAAGAAAAAGGAGGAGGAGGAAGAGGAGGGGGGAGGGGGGGGAGGAGGAGAAGGGAGGAGATGGAGAAGGAGGACACCTCAGAAGCCCTAGATAAAAACAGGGAGGAAGAGAACAAAAACATCAAAGCTGCTGAGTCTGGTGTCAAGAGCAGGGGCCTTAAAATCTGTGTGACTTTGTCCTTTGAGTTAACCTCTCTCATCCTCAACTTCTTGTTTGTGAAGTGGGAATAAGATTTTTTTGTGAGTTTGTTCTGAGACTCATAAGTAACGTACATAAAGCTGGTGGCTCCTGGTCTGTCTTATCATCCGGGGTTAAGCTTTGAAGTGGGCACAGGTGCTGGCAGCTGTGGAATGGGGGGAGGTTGCAGGTGGGTCCCCTGGTCACAGAGAGCTCATCACTGCCAGAGCTCAGGAGCCCCCTCACTGGAGAGGCCTCACTGCCAGGGTTCAGAGCTCCCTCACTGGAGAGGGACTTCCTGAGTGTTGCAAGCTACATGGACAGACCATGTGAGATCAAGCGTCCAGGCCCCTGGGCCAAGCAAATCTTGGGCCAAGATTGTGTGGCTTTAGGGGATGTTATGGAGCCTCTCTGGGCGTCAGCTCCTCCTCTGTAAACTGGGGACTGTGGTGGCGATAATGGTACCCACATATACAGAGACTGACAAGTACTCATGAAACAGAGCTAGGGGTGTATGTCTGTCTCACATCAAAGGGCTTTCACACTGCTCTGATTTTTAATAATAATTATTATATCAGTATATATTAATATTTAATTATATTATTATGTTAATATATAATAATTATATATTAATTATCTTATATTAATTATTAAAATATAATAATAATAATTATTAACAGCTCTGGGAGAAGGTTATCATGAATTTTTTTTGGAGGGAGGTCAGATGACAGCTCGTCAAGGTAACAGAGTGCAAGAGAAGAGCCTGCCTTGGTTGGGGGTGGTCAGGGCCTGGGCACCCCAGAGAGACACAGGGGAGCCTGGGGGAGGACTGAGACCCCTTCTCTTGCTTAATCAACTTTTTCAAGTCAACAATGACATGTGTGCCAAGCTCTGACCCCTGATCGCAGCTTCCCCTGAGAGGGGCCTCTGTGGGGATGTCTCGCAAGGCCAGGGAGATCTGGAAACACATCCCTTCCACAGGCTACATCCATCGTCAAAAGGAGACCTCGAGGGCCCACCTGCCTGTCCTGCCTGCCCCTGTCCCCAGCCCAGAGAAGCAAGCTGAGCCACCTGCCTGTGCTCCCAAAAAGACACCCCATCTGTCCCAGATTGATTTGCACAGAGTAAGTTACCTGTGGGGCATGTGCTGGCCAGAGGCCAAGTGGGCTCATCTATCTTCCCAGGGCAGCGTTTTAGAACGGGGAGTGGAAATAGTGTCTAGGTTGTAATGAATTTTTGGAAGAGGGGAGGGGGTGGAGAACAGAGGAGGAGGGGGGCAGGGAGCGGGACAGAGGAGTCACCCGAGGCTTCTCCTTTGCGGCATTTAATGGGAAAATGAGATATTTCCCAGGCAATTGCTTTTAAGTGACTATTGAAATTAATGCCTCGTTCCAGCAGCACATCTTTGTTAGAACATTAGCCTCTCAGAGGGAGCAAGAAAATGAGAAGGGAAGAAAAAAAAAAAACCTACCTGAAATGAGCCCAGCAGAGAAGGCTGAGGACAGAGGACTTGGGGTCATGGAGTGCTTGGGGGTGAGGTGACTCTGGGATCATGCGAGGGGCCTAAGCGCCGAGGAGCCTCGGTGGCCTGGGGAGACTGTCCCGCCTGAGGGCCACCCTCCTCTGCCACCTGGGGCCGGGATATGGTTGCTGAGTGACAGGGTGACTTGGGGTCCACTGGACGGGCTCTGCCGTGGGCCCTGCTTGCCCTGTGGGCTCTCTGGCCTTCTGAGGCAGCAGGGAGGCTCTGGGCCCACACGTGGTCTCCTACAGGCTTTGGGGCCGCATTCCCAGTTTCTCGATTTCCCCGACATTGGGGGTTCACTGAGATGTTAGGGACCCCTGTAGTGATAATATCCGCTGTGACTTATGAGCACTCCCTACCTGTCAGGCACAGTCCCGGGAGGAGCAGCCTGGGTTCCTGCTGGGGAGAACCCCTTGAGCCAGCCTGAAGGCTGTGACCTTCCCAGGTCTTAAGGGTGGGGATTTCTCAGAGCTGAGACGCATGCCTTGCTTCACTTGAGGCCTGGAATGGCTTCTGTTTGTTCTTCGATTTGTGTGGGGGTGGGGGTTGTAGTTTCCTTTTTTTTTTTTTGCTTTGTTTCTGTGCATGTATAGAATTGAGCCAAATGGAATAGGTGCTTTAAACTCTGAATGCATTTTGCCATTGCTTTTTTTTTTTTTTAATTGATCATTCTTGGGTGTTTCTCGCAGAGGGGGATTTGGCAGGGTCATAGGACAATAGTGGAGGGAAGGTCAGCAGATAAACAAGTGAACAAAGGTCTCTGGTTTTCCTAGGCAGAGGACCCTGCGGCCTTCCGCAGTGTTTGTGTCCCTGGGTACTTGAGATTAGGGAGTGGTGATGACTCTTAACAAGCATGCTGCCTTCAAGCATCTGTTTAACAAAGCACATCTTGCACCACCCTTAATCCATTCAACCCTGAGTGGACACAGCACATGTTTCAGAGAGCACAGGGTTGGGGGTAAGGTCACAGATCAACAGGATCCCAAGGCAGAAGAATTTTTCTTAGTACAGAACAAAATGAAAAGTCTCCCATGTCTACCTCTTTCTACACAGACACGGCAACCATCCGATTTCTCAATCTTTTCCCCACCTTTCCCCCCTTTCTATTCCACAAAACCGCCATTGTCATCATGGCCCGTTCTCAATGAGCGGTTGAGTACACCTCCCAGACGGGGTGGTGGCCGGGCAGAGGGGCTCCTCACTTCCCAGTAGGGGCAGCCGGGCAGAGGCGCCCCTCACCTCCCGGACGGGGCGGCTGGCCGGGCGGGGGGCTGACCCCCCCACCTCCCTCCCAGACTGGGCGGCTGGCCGGGCAGAGGGGCTCCTCACTTCCCAGTAGGGGCGGCCGGGCAGAGGGGCTCCTCACTTCCCAGTAGGGGCGGCCGGGCAGAGGCGCCCCTCACCTCCCGGACGGGGTGGCTGGCCGGGTGGGGGGCTGACCCCCCCACCTCCCTCCCGGACGGGGCGGCTGACCCCCCCACCTCCCTCCCAGATGGGGCGGCTGACCCCCCCACCTCCCTCCCGGACGGGGCGGCTGGCTGGGCAGAGGGGCTCCTCACTTCCCAGTAGGGGCGGCCGGGCAGAGGCGCCCCTCACCTCCCGGACGGGGCGGCTGGCCGGGCGGGGGGCTGACCACCCCACCTCCCTCCCGGACGGGGCGGCTGCCGGGCGGAGACGCTCCCCACTTCTCAGACGGGGCGGTTGCCAGGCAGAGGGTCTCCTCACTTCTCAGACGGGGCGGCCGGGCAGAGACGCTCCTCACATCCCAGACGGGGCGGCGGGGCAGAGGCGCTCCTCACATCCCAGACGGGGCGGCGGGGCAGAGGCGCTCCCCACATCCCAGATGATGGGCGGCCGGGCAGAGACACTCCTCACTTCCCAGATGGGATGGCGGCCGGGCAGAGACGCTCCTCACTTTCCAGACTGGGCAGCCAGGCAGAGGGGCTCCTCACATCCCAGACGATGGGCGGCCAGGCAGAGACGCTCCTCACTTCCCAGACGGGGTGGCGGCCGGGCAGAGGCTGCACTCTCCGCACTTTGGGGGGCCAAGGCAGGCGGCTGGGAGGTGGAGGTTGTAGCGAGCCGAGATCACGCCACTGCACTCCAGCCTGGGCAGCATTGAGCACTGAGTGAACGCGACTCCATCTGCCATCCCGGCACCCCGGGAGGCCGAGGCTGGCAGATCACTCGCAGTTAGGAGCTGCAGACCAGCCCCGCCAACACAGCGAAACCCCGTCTCCACCAAAAAAATACGAAAACCAGTCAGGCGTGGCGGCGCTCGCCCGCAATCGCAGGCACTTGGCAGGCTGAGGCAGGAGAATAAGGCAGGGAGGTTGCAGTGAGCCGAGATGGCAGCAGTACAGTCCAGCTTCGGCTCGGCATCAGAGGGAGACCGTGGAAAGAGAGGGAGAGGGAGACCGTGGGGAGAGGGAGAGGGAGAGGGAGAGGGAGAGGGAGAGGGAGAGCTTGCCATTGCTTTTAAAAAAGCTTGTTCTCATTTAAACTCACAGCATCAGTGAATGAGAGTGTTTATCTCACGATATCCTCACCAGCTTTATATATTATGCTTTTCAAATTTGTGCCAATTTTAGAGTGGGAAAATGGTTGTGAATGTGAATTTATAAAAGAAATAATTGTTGGTTGTTGTGAAAAATAAATATTTGTGTTGGTTTCCTAAAAACTAGAGTTGGATCCCTAAGAATACCCAACTTTGTCAAACAACAGCAGGCAGCCAGGTGTGGTGGTTCACACCTGTAATCCCAACACTTTGGGAGGCTGAGGCAGGTGGATCACTTGAGGTCAGGAGTTCGAGACCAGCCTGGCCAACATGGTGAAACCCCATCTCTACTAAAATACAAAAATTAGCCAGGGTTGGTGGCGGGTGCCTGTGATCCCAGCTACTCAGGAGGCTGAGGCAGGAGAATTGCTTGAACCCGGGAGGCAGAGGTTGCAGTGAGCTGAGATCACGCCATTGCACTCCAGCCTGGACAAACAGAATAAGGCTCTTGTCTCAAAACAAAACAAAACAACAAAAAACAACAACAACAGCAGCCACCTCTCCTTGAGCAGCCTTGAATGTCTATTCTCCTGTAAACTATGGTGAGGAAAATCCTCTCGGAATTTGCTGCCGTCCTCCCCTCTAGGGCTGGGACACAGGATGAGTGCTCCAGGCTGGATTTAATAGAGACACAATCGGATACCTGCGACATGGACTCCAGCCGGAGGCTAGCACACTCTGTCCTGCCTTGGAAACTCTAGAGCTAGAGTTTGGGTGTGAAGTCAGCACAGTTGACACCGTTGTCAGGGGAGGCGTTGGTTGGCTGTGATTCTGGGCCACTGGGGCCACTTGGGAAGGTTGGCTTTGCTATGCTGCAGTAGGAACTTCTTGGACACGTAGTCCCCAAGGTCTGGATATTCCCTTGCTGGGCTGCGTGCATCCAGGATGAGCTAAACCCTGGTCCCACCTGCTCTGACCATAGCCCTCTCTGGAGCCTCTTCCAAGCCTCAGTGCTACTGGGTGGAATTGACAGAGAGACCCTTTTAGGCTTGAGGAAAAGGACAGTCACTGGACAAGCAGAGCTGTGGAAAACAGGGACAAGGCTGGGCCAGGCAAAGCCATCTACTCGGGAGAAAGCGGGAGAAGGCAGAAGAAGCTTGGATCAGGTGGGACTCCAGAGGGGCTTGGACTACAAGGTCCCAGAGCTCCCCTGATTCCAGGATTCTGCAAAGAGTGAACCAAGAACAACCTAGAGCAAAGGTCTCTGAATCAAAAAAGCGACAGCATCTCAGGCACAGAGGTGGGCATGGAGGGAACAGGTTGTTATGCCCCTGTGTGACCCCAGGCATGTCACTTAACCTCTCTGGGCCTAACTTCTTCACCTAGAAAATGATGGCTAGGGCAAACTCTGAGGAATGATTTTATTCTGGGATTTGTGCATGCAGCCAGGTCTATGTGAGCCATAAAGATAACTCCTCCCTCTCTGCATCTTCCAAACCTACCAAAGAAGAACCGAGGCTGACAGAATAGAAACGGGGACGCTGAGGAGGTGGGACTGGAGGCGTCCTCGTTCCTTTCTTGGTGTGGCCTGAGCTCCCTCTGCCTCCAGATAGGCCACTCCTTGGGCTTCCATTTGCACATCTTACCCCTTTGATGATAGAACATGCCCCACCTGCTCGCAGGTTTGACGAGAGGCAAACATTTGGTTCCATTTATCGGGGTAGCTCAGGGCCACTGCTTCCTAGGTATGATTTCACTTAGTCCTTCACACAAACCGTGAGGTTGACATCATGTTCACCCCCATAACACAGATGAGAAAACCAAGGGTTAGAGGACAGGCAGTGAGGGGCAGGCAAAGCCAGGGCTCAGATCTGTTCAGGCTTCAGAGCCTGGCCTCTCTCTCACAAATAGAATATTTTCTTCTAAAAGTCATAGCACTGTCTTTGGGGTGGGGTGGGGGCACGGATTTTCTTTTTGAAAAAGATCTAGAGCTCTCATATGGAAATGGGTCCACAGGGGCAAGGAGCCTGGCCAGGAGTTGGAACACTGATGGATGGACACTTTTGGAAGGTGCTGGGAATGGGCACACTGTCAAAGTCACCGGCCACTGCTCT
Organism: Homo sapiens; assembly: GCF_000001405.40. Taxonomy (NCBI): domain Eukaryota; kingdom Metazoa; phylum Chordata; class Mammalia; order Primates; family Hominidae; genus Homo; species Homo sapiens. The sequence continues at coordinate 5,838,852 of NC_000006.12, forward strand.
TACCTGTATATGGTATTGAGTACTGGTCCATGTACCCAGCCAATTACCTCACAAGTCCGCAAGAGTGGGCACATGCCTGGAGAATGAGGATGGGGCGGGGAGGGTGAGGAGGGAAAATTGGGGCATAATGCAGGCTCCTACCTGGGGGATTGGATATTGATTGGGAACTCCCTGGGCAAGTGAGGCAGGTAAGGGCAGATGAGGCAGGTAAGACTAGGTGAGGGCAGGTGAGGACAGATGAGGCTAGGTGAGACCAGGTGAGGACAGGTGAGACAGGTGAGGGCAGATGAGGTTAGGTGAGACTAGGTGGGGGCAGGTGACGGCAATGAGACTGGGTGAGGGCAGGTGAGAGCAGATGAGGCTAGGTGAGGGCAGCTGAGGGCATATGAGGCTAGGTGAGACTGGGTGAGGGCAGGTGAGGCGAGGTGAAGGCAGGTGGGGCAGGTGAGGCAGGTGAGGACAAACGAGACTGGCTGAGAGCAGGTGAAGCAGGTGAGGTCAGGTGAAACTGAATGAGGGCAGGTGAGGCAGGTGAGGGCGGAAAGGTAAGGACCTGGGCTTTACTCGAGATGCAGAAAGGCAAGGACAACCCTGAAGAGCGAATGGAGACTTGCTGAGCCTAAGGATATCCAACCACATGCTTTCCCCAGAGTTCCTTTGTTTCCTGCTCCAGCCTCAGACGACGCTCCTCCTCCCACCCAACCTGCCTCCGCAGACACAAAGGTGCCATGTGCTTTAGGACTAGCCGGACACTGTGGCTGAAGAGAAACCTGGGCTCTGACCTGAAGAGAATCTTCACAGTGAAGGGACTAGAAAATAGAGTGAAGATGACAGCTGAGGGGAGCAGGTACGTGGGCCCTGCTTGGGGCTCATGGGAAGACCGGAGGGAATTACATGGGATTCCAGCTCCAGAAGGACATGAGCCAGCGTGTGACCCTGCTGTGACCACTCTGAATACCACAAGTGTCCACAGAGGCTGCACTGTGGCTCCTTACCGATGTGACGCCTGCTGTCACGGCCTCAGTTGTTCCACATGCCAAGCTTCCAGGAGAGACGACAGATTTACTCAGGTTCCAATGATACATTGAGCAAAGCAGGAAGATGAGCTGAACACCACTGCTGCTGTCAGAGATGCCAGGAGAAGCCAGCAATTTCTGCCTCTCCCCCGGAAGGACCTTGGGCGTCCTGATACCCGGTGGTAGTCAGCCACCAACCAGCGCAGCTCTTCAGGACACTACTAGAAAAGTGTCCCCTTGCCTCCCGGCTACTGCTGCCCAAACAGAAGCTGAGTTTCTGTCTACTTTTCTGCAAATCACTTGCCAGCAACTAGGGTGTTCTATCCTTTAGAATTCATCATCCTTGAAGGGTCCTTTCATAGATCTCTTCAGCCTTCCCCGTGGAAACAGATCAGCAGACACTCTTGAAACCACAACCTGTAGTCATCCATCCAGGGCTTAGAGGGATTCCTTGATTTCAAAGAAACCTGAAATCAAGGTGGGGGTTGTTGAATTAGGAAGCCTGGATTCCCTTCATACTTCTACTTACACAGCTGTGTGACCTTGGATAAGTCACTTAACTTCTCTGGGCTTGTTTCCTCATTGATAAATGGACACCAACCAGATGACCTGGAAGGTTCTAGCCAAATTGAAACTCTGCGACTCTTGCCGAGATCATGCAGCAGTTTCTCTTCCCCACGCCCAGGGAAGCAGATAGTGTAGAAATTTGTCACTGGAGGTTGGCTACACATTGGGGTCTGGGGACTGGGGACCCTAGGCACAGTGACTCATGTTCTTCCCACCCTCACCTACGACATGCCAGTTTAGACACCACCTGTGAGGCTGTCCTTACTGGTTTCCATGACAACAGCAGAGCACTGGGCATGGGACAAGCTTGCTACCCCTTGGTGTGGGGCTGAGCAGGCCTGGAAGAAACAAGGCTGCTGGGCTGAGCTTGAGGCCAGCCACTCATTTCACCAAGCTGAGCTGTAATCACATCCCCGGGTAGCACTGTGGCTTTCCCAGAACATGACTGAGCAGCATTATGTCTGCAGTGCTAAGCGGGTGTGATCAATAGACGGAGAGCTGTGACCAGCTGGGCTGTGATGTGGAGCCTGCAATCAGGCTGCCTGGGGGAAATTCAGGAGGCCAGCCATCGTCTTTAACCAGGGCAGCCCTGAGAGTGTCTGCAGGGGCTGCACGCCCTGAACAGATCCTCACAGATGCTGATCAGGGCGGCTTCTGGGCTCCACCTGGCACAGAAAAGCCAGCAAAGCTCCAGGGGCTTCCCTTCTTTCCTGGCAGAGAAAGAGCAGGCAGATTCAGAGTCCGGTGAGGCTGTCTTGAGCTCCACTGGGATCCAGGGAGAGCCAGCACCACCAGCAAGTGAGTCCTGATAGATTGTCTCAGGCTGTAAGATGGAGGAGGGGGCATCACAGCTACCCATTGGTGGCTGGCCAAGGATAGCCGCAGCCCAGGTGGTTACTTTCAGAAGAAAGGTAGCCACTTATGAACACTAATATCTCAGGGGAGGACTTCTCCAGGAAATGCTGGGCAGTATGTGTGCCAGTGGAGGCTGGCTGGCTCCTGGTGCCGACTCAACACTTCCCAGGGATGTGGCCTTTTGGGGAATGCCTCCCAGTTTTCTCCTCAGTAAAATGGGCCTAGGTTACAGAGTGTGTGGCGGTGAACTGAGATGCTTCCCATGAGCTCCCAGGATGTAATAAATGCTCTCTTTATAAGAGACAGGGAACCTGCCTCAGAGCTTTTTCCATGACTGAGTTAGAGGAGTAAGGAATCCTTCTCTCCAGCCCAGCGCTGTGTTCCTGTGAAGAATCCTTTGGTCAGTTGGCCATTGAGAAAGGGGTAGCTTGGAGATGTAGGAAAATGTAAAATGTTCCCTGTCCTCTGGTTCTCAATTTGGGTGTGTGGTCATGGAGCAATTAGAAATAACACTCCAAAATGCAGGATCCAATGTCATGAATATACAAATTGTTCTCTAACACATAACTCAAGTCCCTGTCCTTCCAGAATAGTGAAAATAGTGGGAGGGATAATACCCAATCCATTTGAACACAGGTGCTACATTTCACTCTGGACAGCAAATATGTTTCTAGAAAGTTCCACATGGCATGGGCATTTTGTAAATTGAATTAAATATTTTCTTTAAAAAATGCTTTTTGTTGATCTATAATGCACCTGCCCAAAAGTGCACCAACTGAACATACCTATGTAGCCAGTTTAGATCAACAAGCAGAACATTATCTAAACTCCTACATTTCCTCCAGTCATTTACCCCCTCAGGATAACCACCATCATGGCTTCTAAGAACATAGATTAATTTTGCCAGGTTTTACTTTGTTTAAAAGGATTCATATAGTTTATACTCTTTTGTGTCTATCTTCTTTGCCTTAACTTTGTGTTTGTAAATTGCATTCATGTTTTTCTATGTAGTTGTAAATTTGTGTTCATTGCTGTAAAATATTCCACTGTGTGACTATATCACCATTTCTTGATATCCATCCTACTGTTAATTAGCATTCATAGAACTACCAGTTTTATCCTATAACAAATGGTGCTGCTATGCATATCCTAGTACATGTGTTTTGGTGAATGCATATGTGCATTTCTGTTAGGCATATGCCTAAGAGTGGAGTCTTTGAGTCAAGGTTATGTGCATACTCAGTTGTACAGATATTGTCAAATAGGTTTCTACAGTAGTTGTACCAATTCAGCATCTTGACAGCAGTGTATAGGAATTCCAGTTGCTCCACATCCTTGACAACACTTACTATTTTCGGTTTTCCGTTTTAACTATTATGGTGGGGGTCTACTGGTATTAGATTATGGCTTTAACTTGCATTTTCCTGATGAATAATGAAATGTAACATATTCTATGTTTATTGGCCATTTAGAGGTTAGATCCCCTAACCTTGTAAAGAAAATGCCTATCCAAATATTTTGTGCATTTTTCTATTTGGATATCAATCTTATTCTTGTTGATTTGTAAGAGTTCTAGGAGGACAATTTCTTTGAAATTGGGGAACTTTTTCTGGTATGAATAACATTTGGGTCTACATTTAGAAATCTGAATACTGAGTTTTCTTAGAAGCAGGTCACTGTATACATACTTACAAATTTCAACAGTGAGGTAAATCTAAGCATGGGGAAAATCAGCCTCAAATGTTCCCAGATACAAAGCTTCCTCTCGAAAGATGAGAAGACTACTGCTTTTTCCTCCTGTTTATTTCATGCTGGTGTGGCAAATGGGGGTGGGCAAGGTCATTCCACATGGTGTGTTGGAACAAGGACGACAGTGAATTAAGTGGCTGGTGGACAACGAGGAAAGAGATAAATGGGTCAACCAGAAAAGGACTTACAGTTCTGCAGTTGGGCTTGTTTCATAACTGGGCACATCAATGTGCTCAACAAGCCTTAGTGGGATGAAATTTCATCTGACAGGGGACTGCTGAGAAATAACAAATGAGTGGCGGGGGATTTACACGTTAGATAGGCAAGTATCTAGAGAATCATTGTTAGCTCAGCTAAGAAAAATGCCTTTGCTAAATTTGGGGACAGCCGTAAAAGCCAAAACATGGAACAAAAGTATCTCTGGAAGCCACCCAGAAGAGTGTAGATGTGCTACCAGGCATACTTTAAGACTCCTCTGTTATCCTAGGTGTGAGGCACAAGGACTAGCCCTCAAATCCTAAGTCCACATTTCAGAGAGTGGCCCAGCCACCAACTGTGTTCTGCTATCTACCCTGCCATATGCAGCCCTTTGGTGCTACTATCAAAGGAATTTCCCCTTTTAATTACCATTTTACACAATGTAATATAGCAATATAAACATAATCATCCTTAGTGAAATTAAAATGAAACCAAGGAAAAGTTTTCTTGGCTTTCATTCATTCAATAAACGTAAGCACCTAATATATGCCAGGTATCATGCTAGAAGATAAATAAACAGCACAAGGTCTTCCCCTCAGGGAGCTCACAGTATTGTGGGGAAATGAAGAAGTAAACAGTTAATTTCAAGATAATGTAGTGGCTGTGAGATGGAAGTTTTCAGGGCTTTAACAGGTATGGGGGACCTAACTGGTGGCTGAGGAGGAAGACAGGCAGGGGTTAGAAGTCTTGGGAAAGGCTTCCAGAAAGAGTTAATGCCTTAAAGTCTATTTCTTCCTATCATCCGTGAAGGGGATATGTGGGAGAAAAGTTAGGAATTCACAAATCCCACCATGCATCCGAGGAGAAGGAAAAAATTTCCAATTTTCTGTAATTCCTAGCGTCCTCATGACTTATATTAATGAACATTTTTTTTGCCTCCCATTTTGAACATGAATTCAATGAAAGTTAATTAAAATGATGTAAAATGTGTCCTTGTGTGAATTAATTAGTGTTAGTAAAAATGAGGCTTTTCCCCCTTTTCCTTTTCAATTACTCACATATGGAAACCCCAGAAAACATTTGCCATCCCTTGACTAAGCACTGTCAGGACATCTTTCTCCTGTTTACAACCATGAGAATAGGCGGATGGCCAATGAAGGGAGGAGGGTAAATGCAAGAATTTGTTATGCTGGAATTCAGCAGACTCTCTGTAACATGTGGGGTTTAAGATTAGTGGAATCGTGAGTAAGAGAAGTGGGAAAGAGGTAATTACAAATCAGTGGTGGGTATAAGCTAAGAATCTACTTAGAAAGCTGACTGAGCCACTAAGAAAGGGGTTGTGGTAGTCAGAAACTCTTTCTCTGCTCTTCTCAAAGAATATGGAACCAAATATCAGTTGAGTCATTTGGAATGCATTGGGCTGCAAGTAACAGAAACCCTAATTCATCATAATTGGAACAATTAGATGGTTTGTTATCTCACATAATAAGAAGTCCAGGGGAATGGCTGTTCCAGGGTTGATTAATTCACCAGCCCGCCGGTGTCTTAAAGATCCAGGTTATTTCTATTTTTCTACTCTGCCATCCCTGGTGTTCTGGTTTATCCTCATAGGCTGCTCTCTTAATGGACCCAAGATGCTTTGGTTTCAGGAACAACACACAGAGCCCAAGTCCAAAGGCAGAAAAGCAAACATTCTTATCTTGTGGCTTTTGTTTTGTTTTGCTTTTGTTGTTGTTGTTGTTTTTCAAGAAAAACCTTCCCAGAAGCCCCATCAGCAGATTTCACTTTTAGCTCCATTGGCCCAAATTGCATCTCATGCCTGAACCAATTGTTTGGCAGGGGAAATCACTCTGTCCTATCCAGCTTCAACCATGAACTCTCAGTCCTGTGTAAGGGGGCAGCCTAGCCTTCCCCAAAGGACTTGGTAACTTGGAATAAGATGAACAAAATCAGGGTTCTATTAACAAGGAAATGGAGGGATGGGAGAGGGGATGGCAACTAACACATCCATGTTAAACAAGAGTTCTCTGATTTCTCTTCTTGAACTTGAGGGGCACAGCCTTGGGGATTTGGGGGATACCCCTTTGATCATCTCATTTCTTCTCCTTGGTAGCAAGTAGTTGATGGAATCACACCAGAAAAATGAGCAAAATATGACAAAGAAACAACTTTAATACAGTGAGGATACTGGGGAACAGACCAGATGTGAGCAGGCAGGGAAGTCTTTAGCAAAATTGTGGCGTGCCCAAAGCTTGGCTTCTGACATGTGGAGCCTTTCCATTTTGTGTTCTTCCTCCTCACTCCATATCCTACCCAATGAACCCAATATTTTAATATTCTCCTCTTTGCTCCATTAAAGCATCAAACATATTCACACAAGGTTTACATGACCAAGGAGTGCAGGATAGGGATTAAAAAATAGACTTTAAATACCAGCTCTGCCATCTGCTAGCTTTCTGACCATTTTGAGCCTCAAGTTCCTCACAACAAAGTGGGAATAATGATACTACCCAGCAGGTTGTTACCACTGCGTTTATTCATGTTCATCCTATTGGAGCAAGCTAACTGCTAACAACTTTAAAATCAAGATGGCTTGACCCAAGTTTGGTTCTCACTAACACAGAGTCTAGTGTCAGTGGTCCTGATCGGGTGGCTTTCTGGTGACCTGAGGACTCAAGGATACTGCCCTTGCATTTTAAGGTGCCACTGTCTTCAACACAGGATCTTTAAGTTTTTGTTGGAAAGTTGTGGCTGCTTAACTTGGCTTGGAAGCATTTCATTGTTGAGAACTAGGACCGGAGATCCAGGGTGGGAACTGGAATAAAAAAATTTGCTGTGTGCCCAGGTAGAGATGTGATGAGCATCAAGCTAGTCTCTGCCACATTATTATTTTGGCTGTTGCTTTCATTGTAACCAATACCGTGTATTGAAATGGCAGCCATTTTTCAGATGTAACTATGGGCCCTAACAGTTCATTGATGTTCATAGCCATAATTCCAGGAAGCCATTTCTGGGAGCTTATGTACCTTAAATCCCAGTTTGAGGTGTCTATGGAAGAGAAAATAGTCCATCAAGGATGACAGCAGGGAAGTCTAGCAACTTCTCTCCATAATACTTAGCACGGTGTTAGACACAGCAGGTGCTGACTCAGTGATTGTGGGTCTTACTCATGGTGGATGCGCTACTCTATTTCCTTGGGTCCCTTTCCCATTTTCATGCCCCTTGGCTCCGAGTTTGCTTTTACTCCCGGTATCCAGAACCCATGCTTCTTTGTGAGAGGGCTGCCGTCATGCTTCTGGAGTCTGCTTCGCCTGTGTACAGAGAGAGTGGGGGGTACCTAGAAACATGCATCCCTCTGAGATGGCCCTTGACCAATGGAGGGAAGGGCTCTCGGTCTCCAATCCTCCTCTGTGGGAGAAGCCAGGCACCCTGCATGCATGGGACCTTGCTTGACATTGCACCCTTGCTTGGCTTCCTCCTCACTATCTTGCATCCTCACTTCCCTGCAGGGGACACTGCCAAATACATCACTTTCTCACAAATCCTCATCTCTGGGATGCTTCTGGGGAAACAGCCTGAGACAGGAAGTAAGCTGAAGAAGCAGAATTTTGAAGATTCTGGGCCCCATTTGAATGGAATAGCTAAGACGGGTCTTTGAGAACATCAGTATTTGCCTCCCACCTCAGTTTTCACATTCACAAATTAAAAGATCACACAGGCAGACTTTGGTATGATATGCAGTCCCTGAGCAGTGTGGGGACTCAAAGACGTTTATGGCAGCCCATCAGCCTGCATCCAGTGCTTCAAAGGGTTCTGAGAGACTGGCTCAGCCCACTGCCAGCCAGGTCATCTCAAAACTGAAATGAAAGCAGCAGAGAGGGTTATATTTATCGTCTGAGTGAGACTTGCTTTTCTCAACAGGATATTTATGTTGTGAATGGGTAGAATCTGAACTGCAGAATATGAATTTCCAGACATTCTTCTTAGATGATGCAGTCTGCCACAGGTGAGGTGTTTTCAGCTTTATGCTGACATTAATATAAAGCCATTCCTTACTCTTCTACCTTAATATATGGTCTCTTTAGTTTTAATTAGGTCTGTCCTTGCTTCTGAACTTCTGATTTCCCCCAAAGTTGGAGATAATGTTCAGGAATGACCTCAGAGGAGGTACATAGAAGGTACAACGTGGTATGTACAAGGCTGTACCTCAAGCCACTTGAGAGGCTACTTTGGCATCGGGCCCTATGGTGAACACTGTAAAGTGCTAACTAGATCCCCCTCAATAAGGACTTGCAGTCCCAGTGGTGCAGAGTGCTGCTAGCACACAGAGGTTGCCTGGGCTGCAGGGAGCAGCCTTACTGATGTCACACCCCTGCCCATGGGGCCCAAATCTAATAACTGATTGATATGGACCCATAAAGATCTGGCCATCTCAGACCACCTTAAAACAACTCTGAAGGGCCATTTGATCTCCCAAGCCCTGGACCAAGGCTGTCTTTGACCTTGGCTTAATTTCTGTTTCTGCATACTTCTTCCTCCTCCTTACACAGGTGTTGACCCCTTAATCGGCATTCTGCACAAAAAACTGCATCTTATGGTCTGCTTTCAAGGGAACCCAACCTGTAATAGTCACATTTCCCTCCCTCACCAGCCAGACTTTCCCTGAAGACATCAGGGAGGAATAAATAGGGTGGTCCTTCAGTGCTGGATGCAGCTTGGCTCTTGCTTTCAAGCCCTCTGGTTGTCTGGTAAGGATAGGAAGAGGAGGAAGATTAAGGGTGCAGTTTGAGGATTGTATGATGGCAGGGCTACCTCGTTTTGATGCAGGAAGAAGGGTAAAGAGGCCTTCGCAGTCTCTGCAAGGGGCCCTGCATTATAATCCCTGAGCATCTTTAACTGTGGCAGCTCTGTGTTCATTCCAGACATCATCCCTGAGGGCTCCCTCTCCCTCATCCTCATACTCAGATGCTGAAGATCCTCATACTCAGATGCTGAAGAGGTCAGCAAGTCCTGCTGACTTTTCGTTCAAATTGTATTTTGAATCCATCTACTCTTCTCCCTTCCCTCTGCCTCCACCCTAGCCAAAGCCACGATCATCTCTTACCTGGCTAAAATTTGTCTTACCTCCTTGCAAATTTCATTTTCCTCACTACAGCCAGAAAGATTTTTGAATATTGATATTTTTCACTCCTGGGAATTTCACTGTTTCTTTTCATAATTACCAGCTGTTGATTTCTAATGATCTTCTCTCATTTGATATATAGATACCCACCCACATCTCTCCAAAATACTAAGTATACAGATTTTAAGTTTCTGTTCTGATTAGACTATTAGCTCAGTTTCCTCAGTTATCAGCTTTTTCTTTTGTGGAGTTTGGTGATGTTCTTGTATGGAGTTTAGCATCTTCAAATAGTTGATGTACTTAGATTGTGTGTAAAGCTCTGTGCTTCCTGCTTGTTGTTGAAATGCAGCCTGGTTTCCTGCAGGTCTCTTGGGATGTGAGTGGGAGGTGATGCCTTGGCTTGCATTGTGGGGAAGGCCAGTACAGACCACCAGGCAGGGGCTCACTGTCCCACCTGCGTGTAGAGGCTGCCTCTTCCTCCTGGGTGTCATCTGCCATCCAAAGCTCTGACCTGGTCCTGGCCCCAGATTTCACACTGACAGGTACTGCTGGATGCAGAAGCATCCCTTCCTGACCTGGAAATCGTTCCTAACAATGCAACCTAAAGGCCACACCACATTTTTTTTCCTTCATGACACTGATCACAATGAAGAGTTAGTAAATATTTACTCATTTATGGCTGGATTTGCCTACTAAACCAAGCTCTGTGAAGGCAGAGATCAAGTCTGTTTGGGCCACCACCGTGTACCCAGTTCTCAACACTGCACTTGACACACACTTATTTCAAGAAATCATTATTGAATACTGTGTTGTTGAGGCTTCCATAACACCTTTCATTTAAAGAAAGGGTTCTTAGCTCAACACAGTTCGAAAACAACCACGAGAGAGGACACCCTTATCAAATCAGGAGCAAAGGGCCTTGTGCTTCTGTGTAGGTTCTGTGGGGAAAGGTACCTGGTGGGGTCTGCTGCACATGCCCCTTGTCCAGAGGGAGCTGCAGTCCTGCCGCTGTCCTAGGCTGACTCAGGAGCCCAACTTCACCTTCCCGAGAGCAGGGAGCTCATTCTCCTCTGAACTCGCAGCCTGCTGCCAGCAGAGAGAGGAGGAGCCTGCAGAAACTGCTGCAGGGCCATTATGGGGCATTCGAGGAGATTACATTAGCTGCTGGGTCCTGGGGGGCTCAGCAGGCAGGAGGTGGAAGGAAGGAGGGAGGGAGGGCTTCAGCCTGCACCACTTTTGAGTTATCCTGGGGTGCCAGCACCCCCACCCTCCCATCAGTAGCACTGCCATCTGCACCCACCTGCCCATTGCTCTTCACAGTGGTAGCTGCTGCAGTTGGTAAGGGACCTTCCAGAAAAGAGAATGCTCATGCCACTTGAGGAGGAGGGGGCTGTAGAGATCACAGCTTCTCCCCGCACCTCATTTGATAGCTAAGGGAGCTGGCCCAAGGTCACACAGGCAGTAATAAGTGGGGCTAGGGCCAGGATGCAAAGTTACTGATCCCCAGGGCACTGGGACTGCAGCAAACTGTCCTCTCCTTCTCTCTCTTTTCCTCCTTCCTCATCCTCGTTCACCTTGTCTGCTGCATCTTCTTCCCAGCCTCTTACCACTTCAGCCCTGTGCCACCACTGCAAAGACACTGTCGCACCACTGACACCCCAGGCTCCTGGGCCACCACCATGCGTCTTGCCTACCTCTGCTTGGGGCTGAGGGGCTTGCTGGCCTCTGACCAAAGCTTTCTCTGTGGTTTCAAGCAGAATCTGGGAGCTGCAGTATTAATACCAGGGAGGGCCTGCACCAGCCCAGAATTCCCAAGCTTCTCCAGAAGCACTGGGGATTCATTTTACTCCCAGGCTCGCTCTTGTCCCAGGAGAACAAGAGCCTCATTCCCAGATTCCAGACCTGATTCCCTGAGATGAGAACATTTCTGAAGCCCCTGGACTGGTGCGTGGCTTTCATTTGACAATCTCGAACACAGACCTTTGTCTTTATCCTCTCTGATCCCCTTCTGCCACAGCTCCTCCTGCTTGCCCACCTCCCCCAGACAAGATCATTCCCTTCTTTCGAGTTCATTCTCATATCTGACATTACCTCGACTGTTGTACCCAGCACACTGTATTGCAATGACCTGCTTATTTATCTGTTTCTTAGTCCTCCCAGGGAGTACCTTCAGGGCAGAATCTGTCTCCAGCACCTAAGGAGCCAGCGCTGAGAAGGTCCTCAATCATTGTGGGTTGGAAGGGATCTGGCCACCTGGGATCCAGCTCCGTGGTGCAAACGGGAAGAAGGAAGGCAGAGCCAGGTTTCCCATCCCCAAACCGCCCAACCCCACCTCCCACCTCCCACCCTCAGTTGGAGCCTAAGGTGACAAGGGGCTGCTGCTCCTACCTTGCTATGTCACAGTTTTCTAACAAACCAGAGCCTGTTCCCCCAGGTGAACGTGTGGGAAGGAGAACAGCCCGAGCGAGGAGGCCCCCGGAGCATTCCTGACCAGCTGGGGATCCTGGCGGGACGGGTCCTCCACAGGAGCATTTTCTAGGGTGTGTTCTGTGGAACGCTGGACCTGTGATGTGCTCTGGGAATGAAAGGTTCAGAGGTTGGCTTTTGGGAAATGCCGCTTCCTACAAACCTATCTGTCCCTGTTGTAGCTTCACAGTACGCTCTGGTGTGTTAGGGCTCTGAGCGACCCTGCAGCACGAAATGTGAATTGTAAAACAGTGAAAACAAAACATTAACAGCGGGGGACATTCCTCTGCTGACCCCAAAGTTCAGCAGGTGCGGGAGAGGGAGGGGCGGACTCTTCTGTCTGCACAGGGCTTGGGGAGGCATCTCCTCCTCGGGGCTCGCAGACAGGGCTTCTCGTGCCAACGCTGCACCTCGGGGCGTGTTCTCCCACCCATCTGTGCTCAGGCATCCCTTCCCTCTCCTCTGGATTTTGTTTAGGCCTATTTGCAATTTCTTAAAAAAAAAAAAAAATCTAATAAATAGTTGGAGCCTGAAAGAGAGCTGGCCAATGAAACGCCGCGTTGGGGCATTACCGCATCGGTGAGGCCGCCCATTGGCTGGCGTGCCCTGAGGCGATGGCTGCGTTTCCCCGGCACCGCCCCGCGCCGGTGCCCACGCGTCCCGGGCTTCAGGGGAGCACCTGGGAAGCGCTGGGGGTCGCGTGCCCTTGGCCGGAGGCCTGGTCACCCGCAGGCCCTGCCATCCTCGGCTTGGCCGCTGCTGCCCGCGCGCCTGTGGCGGAGCGAGCCTGCCTCCAGGGCAGCCTCACCGCCTGGATCCTGGGCAGGAGACCTCCCAGGTAATAACCGTGATCACGGTGTTGATGCTCACTCTGGGGCAAGGGTGCTCACGTGTTCTTGTACTTGAGCGGAGTAGCCCTTCCTTCAAAGTCAGCCCCGGTCCCCTTGCACTGTGCAGCCCTCTCTGCCGGACCCAGCCCTTAACTTCTAAAATGCTCATTGCCAGCGCCCTTCGTTTGGTATTTGTAGCAGATACTGTCTCCTGGTGCAGCGCCATGTCCGTTCCCCCTTTCTACCATGATATAAAACCTCCTGATTTTTAGCTAGGCGCATGGCTTCTGGAATCAAAACTATGTTCCCAATTCCCTTGCAACTAGATGTGAGTAAGTTCAGGCCAATGGACTGGTCATGTTCTACTTCCAGGAAGTGTCCCTAAAATAAAGGAATATGTCTTTTTAGGTCCCTTCCTCTCTCCAGCTGTCTGGAATGGAGCCGCCATGTCTGGTGCTCAAGCGGCCAGCTCTGACCCAGAGGTAACACGTTATGGATTGTGGAGCCGCAGGATGGAGTAGCCTGGGTCTGATGGTTCTGTTAGTCAAGGCTATCCAAAGAAGCAGGACCAATAGGAAATACATATGTTTACGTATGTATATATGTTATGTATATGCTATGTATACACACACACACACACACACACACACAGAGAGAGAGAGTTAAGAAAGTGGCTCATGTGATTGTGGGACTGGCAAGTTCAAAATCTGCAGACCCAGAGAAGAGCTGATGTTGCAGCTCAAGTCTGAAGGCAATTTCGGGGCAGAATTCCCACTTCTTCAGGGGACCTCAATCTTTTCTCTTACAGCCTTTTACTGATTGAATGAGGCCCACCCACATTATGAAGGGTCACCTGCTTTACTCGAAGTTTACTGATTTAAATGTTAATCACGTAAAAAAAAAATCTTCACAGCAACATCCAGATTAGTGATTGAGCAAAATCTGGTTGCCATGGCTGTTATGGACTAAGTTTTGTCTCCCCCAAATTCACGTGTTGAAGCCTGAACCCCTGATAACTCAGAATATGACTGCATTTGGAGACAGGGTTGTAAAACAGGAATTAAGTGGCCTGGGTGCGGTGGCTCACGCCTGTAATCCCAGCACTTTGGGAGGCTGAGGCAGGCAGATCACGAGGTCAAGAGATTGAGACCATCCTGGCCAACATGGTGAAACCCCATCTCTACTAAAAGATACTAAAAGATACAAAAAAGATATCTCTACTAAAAGATAAATAGCCGGGCATGGTGGCACGTGCCTGTAATCCCAGCTACTTGGAGGCTGAGGTAGGAGAATCGCTTGAACTGGGGAAGTGAAGGTTGCAGTGAGCTGAGATCGCTCCACTGTACTCCAGCCTGGTGACAGAGCGAGACTGTGTCTCAAAACAAAACAACAGAAGAATTAAGTTAAAATGAGGCTTTTAGGGTGGACCCAAATCCAAGCTGACTTGTGTCCTTATAAGAAAAGAAGATTAGGACACACAGAGGGGCACTGGGATGCATGTGCACAAAAGGATGACCATGTGATGGAAGGGGAAGCAAGAAGGTGGCAAGCCCAGGAGAGAGGCCTTTGGAGACACCAACGCTGCCAGCACTGTGGTCTTGGATTTCCAGCCTCCAGGACTGTGAGAAAATAAATTTCTGTTGTTTAAGCCACCAACAGTCTGTGGTATTTTGTGTGGCAGCCATAGCAAATGAACACACATGACCTTGCCAAGTTGACATGTAAAATGAACCATCACAACAGTGCTTATTTAACAAGACTGCATGTGCTTCGGAGGCAGGCACAATGCATTCTTCTCTGAAAATTATGTGGTTGTCATAAATTGCTAAAGAGTTTGAGCTTTAAAACCATCAATGCTAGTGGGTGATTGAAGGTGGTAAGCAGGGAGTGCCAAAGTCAAATTTGGATTTTAGAAAAATCTCTGAAACCAGTGATGGGTAGAGGAGAGTGAGATTGCAATCAGAGAGACCGGTTAAGGGTTGATGTATGAAGACAGGTAGAAGATAGACACAAAGGGACAGTGATGGTGGGAAGAGGAGAACTGAACCGCACATTGGCAGGAGGAATAAGGAAGAGGGAAAACTGAGGGAGAATCCCAAGTGTCTCGTTTGAGAGGCTTAGGGGGATGCTGGTGTCATCAACTCAAGTAGAGAATGCAGCTGATTTCTCCTTTTGTGGTGGTGAGCCTGGTGCAGCATCAAACAATTCATTTGCTTTTAGGCATATTGAGTTTTATTTGCCTTTGGGACATCTGCATAAGGATTCCAGCAGGCAGTTTGATATGCTAGCATGGAGCTCAAGTCTGGTTGGAATCCAGATTTCTATGTCTGTCTCCATCCAGCAATTAAATTTCCAAGAGCAGTGAACCTTCCCACCACACTTGCGTGTCTCGGTCCTAGCTCTTCCAAACATGCATGACTAGTTGCTTTTGTTTTCCTTTTTGGCCATTGTTATCCCAATAAGATCAATTTCAGAAAGGATGTGAGCACCATTGAGGACCCCCTTGTAATAAAGACCCAATTGTAATTCATAACAGACATGAATCATATTCTGCTGTTCTGGGGGTCTTTCTAATTTTTTTTAAATTTAGAATCTTTGAATATCTCCCCCAAAGACCTAGGACTAGCTTGAATGTTAGAAGGATCTGTCTCTGGGCTGTACGGAGGAGTGTGGCTGCTATTTGAGAGCAGATTCTCGTGAGAAAACATTTCTCCCCCATGGAATTTTCTTCCATGAGTCTAAACCCATCCTGGCTCAGGGCCCTCCCAGTCTCCTGCACTGAGCAAGCAGATAGGGAGAGAGCAAAGAGGGGTGGTCTGGAGTTTTAGGATCTGCATTTGAATCTCTCCTCTTGATTTGCAGCCCTGGGCAAGTCTCTACCAATCTCTCGTTACTGAGCACCTGGTTTATGCCAGGTCCCAGAGCTTTTTGGGTTCTATCTAGGCCTCAGCATCTACATTGGACAAAAAGGGTAAATATTTCTGCCATGCAGGGTTATTATGACAAATGCAATGAAATAGTAAAGGTGGAAGGGCCTCTCACAGTGCCTGCCTCAGAGTAGAAAGTCAATAAATGCTAGGGCATTCTGTGTCTGAAAATCTCACCTCTAATTATTCTCTTTCCCTTCCCAATTATACAAAACAGCAGCAGCAGTAACAGCAACCACAAAATGCACTCCAAGGTACTTCTAACCATTTCTTGCTGGGGGAATGTTTGCATCCTTG
Organism: Homo sapiens; assembly: GCF_000001405.40. Classification (NCBI taxonomy): domain Eukaryota; kingdom Metazoa; phylum Chordata; class Mammalia; order Primates; family Hominidae; genus Homo; species Homo sapiens. The sequence continues at coordinate 5,854,879 of NC_000006.12, forward strand.
GTTAGTTAAAAATTTTGTGTTCCTCCCGTGTCAGAAGCCCCTGGATCTTGTGTGAAGCTGTGCATTCCTTGATTAGTTTGTTTCTGTCCTTCTGTGGCTTGTTCTAAAGGGCTTTGCTGCTGCCTTCATCTGGGGAAATTCGCACACTAATGCAGTGGTATCTCATCCCAATCTATTAGGTGTGACAGCTACTGGCAAGAAAGAGATTTGTGTTTTACTCTATGTTGTCCAGCAGGGACCTCTATCACCCAAAGGGAAACAGCCACCTATCTATGAAGCGGTGATCTCCCCTACAAGCAAGAGAGCTCAATTGCCGGGAGGTCTTTGCTTTTTCTGGCTTCCGGGAATGCAGAAATCTCAGGGAGCCACTACTGGGCTCTTTCCCCATAGGATGTTGGGCCAGGCAACAGAACAAACCTCCTGAGGCACTTCTACCTGGGAATGACCTCCTGAGGCCGATGGCAGCCCTCTGATGAAGACACTGTAGTATTTATTTTTTGCAAATGTTGGTGATCATCCAGCGTACATCTCTGCTTAGTGAACCTTCGTGAACTGGAGGCCGAACATTCTCATCCTGCCTTGGTAGAACCACATAGGTTGGTTCCAGGCTGTTTTCTGTGCAACCCTCAACATGGCAGTAATAGTGATGACGATGCTAATGATGATTGTAAAATCCGCAGTAGTTTCCATTTATTGCCCTGTTTGGCTTGTAAGACTTGGTAGATCACAATGACACTCTCTCTCTCTCTCTCTTTCTTTACTGTGAGCCAGGGACGGGACAAAGCACTTTGCATGCATTATAACACTTTTCCTAACAATCCTGTAGCAGGCAGTAGTAGCATCCCCGCTTTATAACTAAGGAAGCTAGAGTTCAAAGAGGTGAAGAGCTTGCCTTGAAGTTCAAGGCCATACAGCCCAAAGTGGCAGAATCAGACCTGCACCCATGTCCATCTGCACAAAGCTGGTGCTTCTACCCTGTACAACACAGTGTGTTTCCAGTGGGCTGTGACTCTCCGGTGGTGGAACAAGCCTTGTCAATTGCTGTCTGCCACATCCAGTCTGACCTGGTTGCCTGGGCATTCTCCCACCCCATGGGCAGCAGCTGCTCTTGCTGCCAGGGCTCCAGGGTGTGGGCAGCGGATGGGAGGGAGGGGAGGCCAGCTGTGCAGCTCTGCCGAGCTGGGACAGAGCTGGGAGGCAGGGTGCCTATTGATTGACTGAAATTGGATTTGTTGATACAAACTGCCAGCATTTCACAGTGATGAAAGGATTGCCCACCAGCCTCATAACAAGCAGAGATTTCCCTGAGGGCCACCAGAGCTGCTGGTGTGGCTCTTTTGTGAGGAGAAGAAAGCAATTAGGAGAACGGGTGAGGTTATTAGGTCTTATTGCTTCCCTCAGCTCCTGCACACACCGAGTGCTGCCCAGTGTGGGATTTCAGGCTCCCTGTCCTATGTCCTGCGGATTCTGTTTGCGCCTCTTCCACTGCGTAAAGCCAGCTGGGGGACAAACAGCTCGTGTACACTGACTCCAAGCATATGGAGAATGCACACACAGATTTAGGGCACCAAAAGAAACCAGCAGGTGGAACCAGCTTTAGCAGACTTTAAAAATAACAAGATCATTGGAGTATAAATACAAATCCATGAATGCACGAGGCACACCCGTCTCTCTCTCCCTTGCTTTCTCCATCCCTTTTTATGTTTTGTCACATTAAAAATATTTAGACTGGTTTGGTTTAAAAGATCTATTCAGGTAAGTTGGCCAACTACACATGTCTACAGATGGGCAGGGGAGGAAGAGGAGAGGAGGGTATGTTCTGTCAGGACAGCATTGGTTTAGCAAGTGTTTATTGAAATCTGGAATATGCACAGCAGTAGGGGTGGGTGTATGAGGGGGAGAGGTAAGAAAATATCAGGAATAATGTCACCTTATATTGTATAAGTGGGTTTTTGTGGCAAAATATACATAACATAAAATGTACCATTTAACCATTTTAAGTGCACAGTTCAAGAACATTAAGTACTTTCACATTATGTATGGTGCAGCCATCACCACCATCCACACCATCCATCTTCAGAACATTTTCATCTTCCCTAACTGTAAATCTGCCCTCATTAAACAATAACTCCCTATTCCCCCCTGCCCCCAGCTCCCGGCAACCAACATTCTACTTTCTGTCTCTATGAATTTCACTACTTTAGGTGCCTCATATAAGTGAAATCATGGAGTATTTGTCCTTTTGTGACTGGCTTATTTCACTGGGCATAATGTCCCTAAGGGCCATCCATGTGGTAGTATGTGTTGGAATTTCCTTCCCTTTAAAGGCTTAATAATATTCTGTTCTATGGCTAGGCCACATTTTGTTTATTCATCATCCATTGATGAACACTTGGGTTGCTTCCATCTTTTGGCTATTGTGAATACTGCTACTATGAACATGAGTGTACAAGGATCTGCCTGAGATCCTGCTTTCAATTTTGGGAGGTATATTTCCAGAAGTGGGATTGCTGGATCATACAGTAATTCTGTTTAATTTTTCTGAGGAATTGCTATAACATTTTTTCTACAGTAGCTTCATCATTTTACTATTTTACATACCCATCAGCAATGTGAAAGTGTTCCAATTTCTCCACGTCCTTGTCTACACTTGTTATTTTCTGGGTTCTCTTTCTGGTTCTCTCTCTCTCTCTCTTTTTTTTTTTTTTCCATAATAGTCATTCTAATGAGTGTGAAGAGGTATCTCATTGTAGTTTTCATTTGCGTTTCCCTAATGATTAGTGATGATGAGCATCTTTTCATGTACTTATTGGCCATTTGTATATCATCTTTGGAGAGATGTCTATTTAAGTTCTTTGCCCATTTTTAATTGAGTTGTTTGATTTTTATTGTTATGTTGCTTTATTTTTATTTTTATAATGGCTAGGATTAGAGTTGTGGATTTACCCCATTTTGTGGAGAAAATGAAGGTCATAGAAGTTCAGGAACTTGCCCGATGTCTTCCAGTTGGGTGGGACTGAAGTGCAGCCTTTTGGCTTCTTTTTTTTTTTTTTTATTACACTTTAAGTTCTAGGGTACATGTGCACAACATGCAGGTTTGTTACATATGTATACATGTGCCATGTTGGTGTGCTGCACCCATTAACTCGTCATTTACATTGGGCATATCTCCTAATGCTTTCCCTCCCCCCTCCCCCCATCCCACAACAGGCCCTGGTGTGTGATGTTCCCCTTCCTGTGTCCATGTGTTCTCATTGTTCATTTCCCACCTATGAGTGAGAACATGCGGTGTTTGGTTTTTTTGTTCTTGCAATAGTTTGCTGAGAATGATGGTTTCCAGCTTTATCCATGTCCCTACAAAGGACATGAACTCATCCTTTTTTATGGCTGCATAGTATTCCATGGTGTATATGTGTCACATTTTCTTAATCCAGTCTATCATTGATGGACATTTGGGTTGGTTCCAAGTCTTTGCTATTGTGAATAGTGCCACAATAAACATACGTGTGCATGTGTCTTCATAGCAGCATGATTTATAATCCTTTAGGTATATACCCAGTAATGGGATGGCTGGGTCAAATGGTATTTCTAGCTCTAGACCCTTGAGGAATCGCCACTCTGTCTTCCACAATGGTTGAACCAGTTTACAGTCCCACCAACAGTGTAAAAGTGTTCCTATTTCTCCACATCCTCTCCAGCACCTGTTGTTTCCTGACTTTTTAATGATTGCCATTCTAACTGGTGTGAGATGGCATCTCATTGTGGTTTTGATTTGCATTTCTCTGATGGCCAGTGATGATGAGCATTTTTTCATGTGTCTGTTGGCTGCGTAGATGTCTTCTTTTGAGAAGTGTCTGTTCATATCCTTTGCCCACTTCTTGATGGGATTGTTTGTTTTTTTCTTGTAAATTTGTTTGAGTTGTTTGTAGATTCTGGATATTAGCCCTTTATCAGATGAGTAGATTGCAAAAATTGTCTCCCATTCTGTAGGTTGCCTGTTCACTCTGATGGTAGTTTCTTTTGCTGTGCAGAAGCTCTTTAGTATAATTAGATCCCATTTGTCAATTTTGTCTTTTGTTGCCATTGCTTTTGGTGTTTTAGACATGAAGTCCTTGCCCATGCCTGTGCCCTGAATGGTATTGCCTAGGTTTTCTTCTAGGGTTTTTATGGTTTTAGGTCTAACATTTAAGTCTTTAAACCATCTTGAATTAATTTTTGTATAAGGTGTAAGGAAGGGATCCAGTTTCAGCTTTCTACATATGGCTAGCCTGTTTTCCCAGCGCCATTTATTAAATAGCTTCTCATCCTGCCTTTCTCCTCTGCTCATGCCGTCTACTCCCAGGTGGCAAGAAGTGGTTCACACCTTTTCAGAATTCACATTTCACTTACAAACAATACAGGAGGACATAAAATATGTGTCAAATGAAGGTTACAGAGGATGAATTTTATGGACATTCAGAAAAAAGGTCCTGATGTCTGGGTCATTTGGGAAGATTCTGTGACAAAGGGGAACCAGAGCTGAACATTAAAAAATAGTGTGATAGCGGCTAATGTCAAACTCAATGGGGAAAAACTGAAAGCTTTCCCTCTAAGATGTGGCACAAGGCAAGGATGTCCATGCTCACCACTTCTATTCATCATAGTGCTAGAAGTCATAGCCAGAACAATGAGACAAGAAAAATAAAGACATCCAAGTTGGAAAGGAAGAAGTAAAATTATCCCTATTTGAGAATGGTATGGTTATATACATAGAAACCCCTGAAGACTCAACCAAATACTGTTAGAGCTAATAAATACATTCAGTAAAGTTGCAGGATACAAAACCAATATATGCAAATCAGGGCATTTCTATACACAAACAGTTAACTATCTGACAAGGAAATCAAGAAAATAATCCCATTCACAATAGCAACAAAAAAAGAGAATACTTAAAAATAAATTTAACCAAAGAAATGAAACACTTGTACACTGAAAATTATAACAATGATGAAGGAAGTTAAAGAAGATACTGATAAGTGGAAAGATATCCATATTGACTGAAATAATTAATATTGCTAAAATGTCTAAACTACCCAAACTGATTTACAGATGCAAAGCAATCCCTATCAAAATCCCAATGATGTCCTTTACAGAAATAGAAAAATCTACCCTAAAATTCATATGCGGCCAGGTACAGTGTCTCTCACCTATAATTCCAGCATTTTGGGAGGCCAAGGTGGGTGGATCACTTGAGGTCAGGAGTTCAAGACCAGCCTGGCAAACATGGTAAAACCCCACCTCTACTAAAAAGACAAAAGTTAGCTGGGCATGGTGGCAGGTGCCCGTAATCGCAACTACTCGGGAGGCTGGGGCAGGAGAATCACTTGAACCTGGGAGGCAGAGGTTACTGTGAGCTGAGATTGCACCACTGCACTCCAGCCTGGGTGACAGAGCAAGACTCTGTCTCAAAAAAAAGAAAAAAAAATCATATGGAACTACAAAAGACCCAGACTAGCCAAAGCAATCTTGAGCAAAAAGAACAAAGCTGGAGGCATTACCGGCTCTGATTTCAAAATATATTACAAAGTTATACTAACCAAAATAACATGTACTATCATAAAAACAGACACATAGGACAACGGAAAAGAACAGAAAGCCCAGAAATAAGTCACACATGTGTGGTCAACAAGTCTTTAACAAAAGTGCCAAGAATACACAACGGGGAAAAGACAGTCTCTTCAATAAGTGGTGTTGAGAAAACTGGATACCCCCATGCAAGAAAACGAAACTGTATCTTTATTTTATACCATACACAAAGATCAACTCAAAGAGACTGAAACATAGCCCTGAAACTCTAAAACTCCCAGAAGAAAACATAGGTGAAAAGCTTCATGACATTGGTCTTGGCAATGATGGTTTGGATATGAAACCAAAAGCACAAAGGAACAAGTGAGACTACATCAAACTAAAAGTTTCTGCACAGCAAAAGAAACAATCAACAACAACAAAAAGCAACCTACAGAATGGGAGAAAATATTTGCAAGCCATACATCTGATAAGGGGTTAATATCCACAATATATGAGCAACTCATACAACTCAACAGAAAAAAACGAAACTTGATTAAAAAGCAGAGAGAGGAGTTGAGTAGACATTGTTCCCAAGAAGACATACAAATGACTAACGGGTATATGAAAAGATGTTCAACATCACTAACCATCAGGGAAGTGATAATCAAAACCACTATGAGATGTCACTTCACGCCTGTTAGGATGGCTATTATCAGAATGACAAGAGATAACAAATGTTGGTGAGGATGTGGAGCAAATAAAACCCTTGTCCACGATCGATGGGAATGTAAATTGGTACAGGCATCATGGAAAACAATAGGGAAGTTTCTCAAAAAAGGAAAAATAGAACCACCATGTGATCAGCAATCCCATTGTGAGGTCTATATCCAAAGAAAATGAAATCAGTATCTTAAAGATATATCTGTTCTTTGCAGCATTATTCACCAAGATACAGCCAAGATACAGAAATAACCTAAATGTCCATTGACAGATGAATGGATAAAATGTTGTATATACACATGCAATGAAATATTATTCAGCCTTTAAAAAGAAGGACATTCTGTTATTTGTGACAACATAAACCTGAAATCCAAAAATGTCAAATCATGGAAACAGAGAGTAGAATAGTGGTTACTGGAGGCTGAAGGGGAGGGATATGGGAAGATGTTGGTCAAAGGGTATGAGCGAGGTCTGTTATGTAAGGTAAATAAGGTCTGGACAACTACATACAGCAATGTGACTACAGTAACAGTATTGTAGACTTGAAATTTGCTGAGAAGGCAGCTCTTAAGTGTTCTCACCACATCAAAAAATGATAACGATGTGAGGTGATAAACGCATTAATTTGCTTGATTGTGGTGGACAGTTCACAATGTATACATATATTGAATCATTGAGTTGTACGCCTTAAATATATAAAATTTTTAATTGTCAACTATACCTCAGTGATGTTGGGGAAAAAGAGAATAGTGTGACATGCATTATATAATGCCCCCCAAATACGTCCACATCTGATTCCGAGACCTCTGAAGATCTTACGTTATTTGGCAAGGAGGAATTAGGTTGCAGGTGGGTTTAAGGTTGCTAATCAGCTGACTTTGAGATAGGAAGATAATCCTGGATTATCTGGGGGCCCAATGACATCACAAGGGTCCTCACAAGTGGAAGAAGGGGCAGGCAGGAGGGTCAGAGAAGACAAGGCAACAGACTCAGAGAGGCAGGCTGACATGATGGGAGAAGGATTCTGCAGGCCATTGCTGGCTTGGAGGATGGACGAAGGGGATTGCCAAAGATAAACAAAGCTGGACACTGATTAAAATGATCAGGACAGATTTAAATCAGTAAAAACAATTGCTGATTTAACAGGGAGAGGGGTCTGTGGTGAACTGCACTCAACTTTGTACAGAAGTGAACCAGCGTGTTGAAGGGAGAATGCGAGAGTGGGAGGGGAGAAGCTGGAAAAAGCCAAAAACCAGATTCTTCCCCAGAGCCCCTAGAAAGGAACATGGCCCTGCTGGCACTCGGAGTTTAGCTCAGCGAGACTCATTTGGACTTCTGACCTGTAGAATCCTAAGAGAAAAAACATATGTTGTTTTAAGACACGGCGTTCGTGACAATTTGTTGCAGTGACAATAGGAAACTAATACAAATAGCCAGAACTTAGATAAGCAGAGAATCCAGACCTCTGGTGTGAAGAGAGGACCATGGGGAGGAGATAAATCTCACTACAACAAAGTGTTTGATTTGGGAAGAAAGAATCGCTAACACACATGGAGCTCTCCTTGTTCCGGCGGGGTTTAAGCACTCAGGCATGCATTTTCAAGAATGCTCTGAGGTTGGTACTATTATTATCCCCATTTGCAGGGGAGCAGACTGAGGCACAGAGAGGTTAAATAAGTTGTCTAAAATCACAGTGGTGGTACGTGCTGAGGTAGTAAGAGACAATACAGAGGGTGTGACTGCAGTGCTAAGGCGGTGAACTCCTGAGAGCTGCTGCGGCCCCTTTCCCAGCCTCAAAATGGTATGAGAGGGGTGGTGGGCCCTGCTCCTCTCACCGGGCAATGGCTCACTCAGCCTGGTTGGCTGCCTCTCTAAGCCTGGGGTCTGTCTCTGTGAGGAGCAGAGGGCAGGCCTGGGGAGCACATCCCCCATGTCCTTGCCATGTTGATAGTAAACCAAAGTGAGTAACTGCCATTCTTCCCAAACCCTGAACCTGGGCTGTCCTTCTGTCTGGCTGAGCTCATTACCAGCTGGGAGGTGAGGCCCTGGCTTTCAGACCCTGACCTTGACCACGACCTTTCACTGCCTCTCTGCAGCCAGGTGTGGGGAGTAGAGAAGGCCCCTGTGATGAAGAGCCTCCAGTGCCAGGACCAATATGGCAGATGTTAGGAACAGTGGACTGACCTGCTTTCCAATGCTTGCTGAAAAGTCACCTGGCAGCAAGAGGTAGGAAGAATCAGTGGAGGGGTTTACGTGAATATTCACAGCGACATTATTCATAATAGCCATAAGGCAGGAGAAACTCAAATGTCCCTCAATGGGTGAATGGGTCTAAAAGGTTTCTTTTTGAGGTGATATGAAAATTGACTGTGAAGATGGTTGCACATAACTGTAAATATAATAAAATCCATTGAATTATATACTTTAGTGGGGTGAATTGTATGGTATGTAAATTATATCTCAATGAAGCTGTCAAAAAGGTTAGTTGGGGAGAAGCTCCAAGCCAGCAGAGTGCTCTGTGCCACCCCAAGATGTGACATCTGGGGATGCAAAGACTGGAACTGTCAGCCAAGGCTAAGAGCCAGGCTGCAAGCTGGAACCAGGTTGTCCCAGAAACAGTGGACAGACACGCAGGGTGGGGTCCCTCAAAGAGCCTCAGAATCAAGCTGGGCACAGATTCAAACCTGGCAGGCCTCTCACCCTAGGTTTTCTCATTCAAAAAGTGAGAGGTCAGAGGTCAGCGTTCTTCGACCTCAGTACACCAAAGACCTTCAAGCTCTCAGGGACTCTGCTCTGGACCTCAGGATGAAGGGTGAGGGGTAGAAATAATAAGTGGGAGGTTAGGACAGGGGTGAGGAGAGAGGACTGAAGTCACACATGCTCATGCTGTGGGAAGAAATGGGAAGAGGCAGGTGTCCATTGGTTGGGGCCGCCAGACAAGCCTTACTCTGAGTCCTCCCACCGGTGGAAAGAGGCTCAAGACAGAAACTGGTGGTGTGGGAAGAGCATCTCAAGCTGGAAAGGAGCAGTTCCTTGCCACACCTGTAGATGCTTGACAGGTAGAAGGCTTCTGCCACTGTGAGGTCAGGAGGAAGGGGTGGGGGAGAATCAAAAGCAAGGGATGCATTTCATTCATTGCATTCCTGCACGCATGCAGTAAGAAAATATTTTTTAAGTTCAGGGCACCTTGAAGAGAGAGGTGAACAAAGAGAACAAAGTCCACATCCTCAAAGAGCTTTTGTTTTAGAGCTGTGCTGTCCGAGATGGCGGCCACTAGCACGTGTAGCTACCAAGCCCTTGAAATGTGGCCAGTCTGAATGAGAGGTAAACAAAGGGCAAAATACACATCAATTTCAAAATTTAGACCAAAAAATGTGAAGTATCTCATTAATGATTTTTCATATTGATTACATGTTGAAATAATAGTATTCGGGATATCATGGTGATATGGTTTGGCTCTCTGTCCCCACCTAAATCTCATCTAGAATTGTAATCCCCACATGTTGAGGGAGGGAACCGATGGAAGGTGATTGGATCATGGGGGCAGTTTCCCCCATGCTATTCTCGTGATAATGAGGGAGTTCTCATGAGATCTGATGGTTTAAAAGTGGCATTTTCCCCTGCACTCTATTGCCTGCCACCATGTAAGATGTGCCTTGCTTCCCCTTCACCTTCTGCCATGATTGTAAGTTTCCTGAGGCTTCCCCAGCCATGCAGAACTGTGAGTCAATTAAATCTTTTTTCTTTATAAGTTACCCAGTCCAGGTAGTAACTTTATAGCAGCGTGAAAATGGACCAATATACACGATTAAGTGAAATAAATTCTTAAAATTAATTTTACCTGTTTCTTTATGCCCTTTTAAATGTGGCTACCATAAAATGTAAAATTACAGATGTGGCTCAAATTATATTTCTATTGAATAGCATTGCTCTAGTAGGAGAAACAGACAATAAATAAGAAATAAACAGACATAACAATATCAGTAATGTTTGATAGAATGGTCTTTCTAGGGAGATGGTGTCCGTGGAGAGGCTTTGGAGGAGCAGCAGGCAGTGTGGCTGGGGATGGTGAGCATGGTAGGTGGCTGGAGGGGATGTAGGCAGAACTGATCTTTGAGCAGCCTTGAAGACTGTTGTGCCTACGAATTTACAGGCCTTGGCAATGGTGACTGACTGGACACAGGAAAAAAGTGAGAGGGCAGGGACAGAAGTCAACATGAGGTTCTGAGCCAGTGTGACTGGCGAGCTGCTGGTTTGCCTAGATCGGGATGGAGATAGGACCTGTGATGAATTCTGAACTCTTGTCTCATCCTGCTAAGTCTGAGTTGGCTCGAGGAAATTCAAATGGACATGTACAGTTTCCACTGGAGATAGTCCTGGAGCTTAGCAGCAAGGCTGGGGATGAAAACACACAGTTTAAAGTTATCTTAGAGGAGACCCTTGAGCCCACACACACGGATGTGTTACTGAGGGTAATGAGAGTGGGGAAGGAAATGACAGTTGGTCAGATGTAGCTCGAGTCCTGGCTCTGCCACTTCCCACCTTCCTGTACTTCCTCATCTGTGTGATGAATTTAAAATGGTCACGAACCATTTTGATGTTGTTTTTATTCCCTCATCTTGAATGTGGGCTGGCCCTGTGACTACCCCCAGCCACTGGAGCACAGAGGAAATGATGCTGCTCTGGTTCCAGGCTTAGACCTAAGAGGAGTGACAGCATCTGCCTCATTCTTCTGGAGCCCTGAGTTACTAAGTAAGAACTTCTACCCTAAGTCTGCCATGTTGTGAGGAAGCCCACAGGTGAAGAGGCTGGGCAGAGAAATACAGAAGGTTACTTAAATAGCCAAGACATTCCAGAGGAGGCTCCAGACACCATGGGAGAGACAGAAGTTATTCTTCCTCCATCCTGTCCACATTCCTAGCCCACAAAACGATGAGGTATAAGAATAATCAATTGTTGTCTTAAGGTACTAAGTTTTGTAGAAGTTTGTTATTCAGCAATAGATAAATGGAATAGTATGTAAAATGGGATAATAATTTATATCTTATTTGATTGCTAGAAGGAGGATGTAAAATGCCAAGTACAGTTTCTGGCACTGGATAGGTACTAAATCAATACTCTTTTTCTTTCTCTTTGAAAGGCTTATGCTATAAAGTCAAAATCTGTGAGGTTCAGCCTTGTGAAATGACATCAAATAAGCTGAAGTCCTATTTCATGTCTATTTTTTTAAACATATGGAAATGACAACTGACCATAGGCTATCTTCCCTATGCTAGATTGCCTATTCTCCCCTCAGTTACACTGGTCTCAAGGCATGTTCTCCTGGTCACTCTTTCCAGAATCTGATCTAATTGAAAATTCTCCGTTTGAGTGAGTTGCCCTAGAAGGGCCGCCTTAGGTGTGGTCAGTGCAGTGCTGGTCAGAAGTGTGTCTCCTCACTTTGTTGGGACACACCACCCCACTCACCATGCTGGCAGAACAGACCAATACTGTAGGCTTCTAGGATTCTGCTTCTATTATTCAGTGTGTTTACTATCACTTTCAGTTTCATGATATCACAGACTCGATCAATTATACTGTTACTCTTCTTATCCAAATCATTTATCAAAATGTCGGACAAGTCTGCAGTGAGGGTAGAGCCAATAGAGACCTCACTATCTGTTGACATTTGTTCATTAATAGGCCCTGTTGGGTATGTTTGTTCAACCAGTTATGTGTGAATCACCCAGCACTTCTGTCATCCAGCCCACATTTTTTCCCATCTGTTTATGGGAGTATTCAGTTTCACTCTTTAGCATATACGATCTGCTTTTGTTCCACTGCAATAGCTGGTGTTGTTTGCCTAACTGTGATAGGTGCCACTGCAGGCAGGAGCCACGTCCTGTTTTTCTTAGATGACCTCTATGTTGAACATGTAGGAAGTGCTCAGCGAGCTCTTGAATGAGCTCTTTCAACCATATCATTCCATCAGGATGCCTGCTTTCTTACATGTGTCTGTTCTGACCCTGCATCTTAGCATACATCTAAGGAAACTTACATCTAAAGAAGGAAATTCTACAATATGTGACAACACGAATGACTCTTGAGGACATAGCACATTTCTGTTTATAATTATCTTATACGTAGGATATGTGAAAAAATACTCAATTTGATTTAAATTCCTGTTTTAAGAGAATCAACTACATTTAACCTAGGATGAATCCTTAACAGTTGGATTATGGAAAATTATACAAATCAGGAAGAGCAGCTAAGAAAGGTTTGCCTTAGGCTCCTCCAGGAGAGAGCTGCACTATAAAGATGTAAGCTAAGATGCAGCTCCAAAAAGTGAAGCTGCTTACTAACAATGAGCTGGAGCTCACTGAAGATGAGTAGATGCTGGCTGTGTGGGAATACAAAGAACAATCACTTGCGAGGATGTGGAGGAACTGGAACCCTTCTGCACTGTCAGTGGGCATGTAAAATGGTGTAGCTGCTGTGGAAAATGGTATCGTCAAAAAAAATACATAGAATTACCTTATGATTTAGCAATCCCACTTCTGGGTATATACCTCCCAAAATTGAGATCAGGATCTCAAAAAGATATCTGCATCCCATGTTCATTGAAATACCAGTCACAATAGCCAAGACATGGAAACAACCTAAGTGTTCGTTGATAGATGAATGGATAAAGAGAATGTGGTATATATGTACAATGGAATATTATCCAGTTTTTTAAAAAAAGGAAATTCTAAAATATGTGACACCATGAATGGCTTTTGAGGACATGTTGTTAGTGAAAAAGCCAGTCACAAAAGGACAAATACGGCATGATTCCACTGACATGAGGTACCTAAAACAGTCAAACTAGCAGAAGCAGAGAATACAGTTCCTAGGAGCTGGGGGGAGAAGGAAATGGGGAATTGGAAATAAAGTTTTAGTTATGTAAGATGAATTAGTTATAGAGATATGTTGTTGCATAATGCTTATAGTCAATAATAATGTATTATTTGCACTTAAAAATTTCTTAAGTGGGTAGATCTCATGTTAAATGCTCTTACCACACATAAAAATACCAAGGGACACAAGGAAGCTTTTGGAGGTGATGGATATGTCTATTGGCTTGAATATATGGTGATGATTTCTAGGAAATGTACATGTGTCCAAACTCATCAAATTGTATACGTCAAATGTGTAGTTTATTATATAACAATTATATCTCAATAAAACTTCTATTATTTATGTATTTATTTTGAGATGGAATCTCGCTCTGTCACCCAGGCTAGAGTGCAGTGTCGTGATCTCAGCTCACTGCAACCTCCGCTTCTCAGGTTCAAGCAATCTTCCCACCTCAGCCTCCCGAGTAGCTAGGATTACAGGCATGTGCCACCAGGCCCGGGTTAATTTTTTTGAGTTCTTAGCAGAGATGGAGTATCACCATGTTGGCCAGGCTGGTCTTGAACTCCTGACCTCAAGTGATCCTCCTGCCTCGGCCTCTCAAAGTGCTGGGATTACAGGCATGAGCCGCCACTACACCTTTGCCAAAAAACTGTTTTTTAAAAAAGAGAGAAACAATCAGCCCAGATGAACTTGGTGAGTTCATAGGCACTTAGTGTGTAGAAAACTTGTTAAAATGCTGTTTAGCCACTGAGAGCAGAGACAGTCAAAACAGATTGACCAAGGCCAAATTAAGAAGAGATCATTTTAATGGTTATAAATCTTTATTTTTAAATTTTCTTCTATTTTTATTTTGATTATTTATGACCAATAAGAGAAGTTTAAAACTTTTGTCCAATCAAACCATATTTATTGAGATGGTTATTAAATCATGGTCAAGACCGTGGAACAGATTATCTACATTCAACGCAGCCACCTCAGTCATTAGCTGGGGTGAATTATTTAACATCTTGCGGCCTCAGTTGCATCATCTGGAAACTCTTCATACAATTTGTTGGAATTATTAAATCAGATAAGAGATGTAAAAGACTTAGAACAGTGCCTGGCATATAGGCATTGCTATTTAAGTGACAAGTATTAGTATTTATTTGGATACTCAGGTAATATTTTCTCTGGACTCTATTCAAATCCTAACATTGTTCTTTCTTAAATTGAAATTGCTGCTATGCAACTTTAAGAAATGCACTTAGAGACCATAAATTGGTAAAGAGATGATTAGAAAGAAAAGACATTTAGAATTCTTTTAGGGCATGCCCCAGACCTTCAAAGAGCAAAGTCAGTCACTGTCACTGAAAGGCACAAAAAGAGTAACACTTTCTGATTTGTGGATCTGCATTATTTATGCCAGTAATTCTCAAATTTTAAAACATCACCTGGGGTGCAGCTTAAAAACACAGACACTTCCTGTTGAACCTCCTCTTCCTGTCAACTTCAGAAATTAAGATTCAGTAGTTTTGGAAGTTCAGAAGCCAGAACTCTTAATGAGCCCTGCAGATAATTTTTAGTCTTCCTTCCTCCTTGCTCTTTCATGACTCTTTTCCTCTCCATTTTTCATTCATTCATTCACCCATCCATCTGCAGTGCCTATCACTTGAATTCCCTTCCTAAGTTTATATAATCCAGAAATTAAAATATTAGATATTTGCTCATACTGAAACCTGGCAGTAAAAACATAGACATGTGACTTAAACATAGATGTGTGATCGAAACACAGATGTGTGACTGAAACACACAGATGTGTGACTTAAGCCCATCAGAGACCTGAATCTAGAGTAAGGGTGTGAGGACACAAGGGCAGCTCAGGGTTCACAGCTATGGTGGCAACTGACCGATTCCTGGGATGTGGCCCTCACAAGTTTCCATCAGTCTGGTTTTCGACCCTGGCTCTCTAGGCGTAGCTTACCCCAAATGCATGATTACTTCACAGCCATCTGAGAAACTCTTTTTTTTTTTTTACCTTAGGTTAACCAGTGTTGGTTCCTGTTGTTTACAACCAAGAATCCTGAGAAGTTCATATGTAGCCCACACATAAGCTGAAGTATTGCCTTATGACATATTCTGAATATTCCAATTATTTTGCAAATAATTCCACTAAGAGATTAATACATTCTAGAGCATGTAGCTGTGGTTCATTCATTTTCATAACTGTGTAATATTTCATTGAATAAATTTGCTCTTTCTATATTTTCAAACCACTTTATTGAGATATTGTTGAAATGTTAAAAAGTTGTACATATTGAATGTATGTAACTGGATTTTGAGGGTAAGTATACACCCATGAAACTATCACTACCATCCATCACCTCCTAGCTTTCTCTCACCCCCTTTATCATCATCATCATTAGTATTATTTGTGCTGTAATATATTTATCCATTTTATTTTTGATGGACATTTGATATTGATGGGTATTGTTTTCAAGTTTTGCATTACAATGCTGATATAAGGATTTCTGTATGTATATTTTAGTGTACATGAAAAAGTATTTTTCTGTGATATATTCCTGAGAATAGAATTGCTAAATCATAGAAAATGCATATGTTTAAACTTATTAGATAATGCTATTTTTCTAAAGTGAGTAAAACAACTTATTCTCCCACCAGGAGTTACTGAGAGAATTTAAATATTTGCCTAAAAGTCCTTTAATATTTTGTTACATTTATGGCTAGGTATTTTATGTTTTGGTTGCTTTTATAAGTAGTAATTTTTTATTTTTTAACCATCAGTTACTGGTGTATAGATATGCAGCTGACTTTTGTATATCAAATTTATGTCTAGAAACCTTACTAATCTCAGATTTATTTGGGTTTTTTCTGGGAAAGACAATCATATTATCTGGAAATAATGCCAATTTTGTTTTTAAATTTGTAGTTCTTATACTTTGTATTTCTTTTTCTTGTCTTATTGCACAATGTGGGAACCTTCAGTAGAATGTTCACTATAAATGGCACTGGCAAACATTTTTGCTTTATTTGACTTTAAAGGAGTTGCTTTTAATATTTGACTATTTAATATGACATATGCTGTATTTAAATCTTTAAAAAAGTCTAAGAAAAATTTTCTATTTCTAGTTTGCTAAGAATATTTTTTAAAAACATAAACAATTGTTGCTAATTAAGTTCTAACTTACACCTGCTTTAAAGGGTTCAAAAGATTTTCTGTATTCTTGCCCTTTTATTTTTTCCTTGAAGCCTGGAATATTGTTTTCATAATTAGCTGTTAAGCTAACATTCACACTCATACACACAGGCATTCATTCATTCACTCATCAAGACTTTATTGAGTGTCTGCCAACTGAGGTATGCAGAAGATACAAAAGTCTACTGAGTAAAATAAGAAGTACACCAACAATTAATAGGGATTTCCCATCTGCACTTCGTGGTTGCTTCAGGGTTTGATATTACTCTTCAGAGGCAAGCAGCCAGAATCGAAAGAACAAGCTTAAGGAATGATACTATAGCATGGCCCTGAGATCATGGTAGGTGCTCTGTAGAGAGGTCTCTATCAAATGTCACGGAATAGTGAAACCAGGGAGTCGAGCAGGACTTATTCTTAGAATCATCAGCATTTAGGGCTGGAAGATACCTCAAGGCCACTTGGCTGAAACTCTCATGTGGTACTCTTTTTGACAGATGTCTAGTCATTGCTTGTGTACTTCCAGTCAAGGATGGAAAACTCCACAAAACACTCTGACCATTGTTTGTCACTGTAATTGTTAGAACAATTTTTCTTAAATTGAGGTGAACTTTCCCTCCTGGTGGTCTTTTCCTTGTGATCTCACTATGCCCCATGCATCCACCAAAAACCTTCCCCTGCCTCTCTATATGTTGGCTTTCCACATAAGAGAATGCAGGTATCATGTCTCCTGAGACTTCTCCAATCCAGAGTAAACACTTCCCAGTTCCTTCCACAGCTTCTCATAAGAATTCTTTCCCAACTACTCACCATTCCTCTTCTGGGCACACTGCTTTCATCAACATCTCTCTTCAAACTTAGCATCAAAGTCACATGAAATCACCATGATTTGTGATCATGAAGCTGACACCTTCTTGTCCTCACTATTACCCATTCCACCTAGCTTTTCCATATTCATCTCTGAATGAATCCCTACTTTCTCCTTTCAAAACCAGGGCACCTTGGAGAGACATGTAGGTGTCATTACAAGTAAAGGTGATGCAGAAGGAAATACATCAATTTTTCCAGAAAGATAATGAGCTACGTGAATGGGTAACTGCTCCAGTGCTCAGAAGAGCAGTTCTTTATGGTGCTAAGACATTAAGAACCTTCTCTCCACAGTCCAGGAAAGAAGGCATTGTATGGTACTGTGAATAATATACAAAACAACCCTTTACATTAAAGAAAATAATGCACTTATATTTGTTGTGATATTCACCATTGCTTTTGAAATGCAAATGTCAAATATGCATAATGACATAACGTAGTGCTGGAGTAGCTGTGGGGCCTTGGTTGAATCACCCAATTTCTCCAATCTTCAGTTTCTTTTTCAATTCACCCAGTGTCTTCTTCAACTATGAAATAGCATGACAGTAATAATCACTTGCAAATCTACCTCCCAGGAAGAACGTGTTGGACCTTCACAAACTATGACCAGCCTTCAAATGCAAAACATTATTGTCATAGTGAGTGTGGTTTTGTCAGAGTGAGATAATATTGTCAAAATAACAAAATCCAACTCAAACGTGCACTGCTTTTGCATTCTTAAATTGCTCCAAAGTATTTATCCATAATTTTTAGATACAGAATGGTCTAGAAGACATTAAAATTCTCAGAACAACCTGTTGAATGTTGTCTTACTTCTCGTTGTTCATCAAGCACATCACCTTATGGATTGCCTGGAGCATATATCTAATTTTCTATTTAGAAACAAATGTTGTTTTCACCAATTACTCCACTGGGGGTCATTCCCCAACTCATGACCTTTCTTCTTGTGGATGAGATCATTGAGAAGTGGCTGTCCAGCCAAGAAAACTGACACTCCAGACAACTAGCCCCAGAGATGCCCAGACTCTTCCTGAGGTCCCAGTTCCTACTTTTATCTCTGGTCCCTGATGCCTGTGGAGCTTTCTGCCCAACCCATTTTAGCTTTTGACTGCACAAGAAGAATAAGAGGTACAAATACGGCCAGAGAAGACAATTAATTACTAATATAAGCCAATCCAAAGGGGCTTTAAAAGGAGCATTCTAACCTTTTGAGAATCATAAATAATGTAGATAATTTCCCCATGTTTTATGCAAGTATAATTTTTTGGTGGTAAACAGTAAGATGAGATATAGATATATCTATATTTCCCATCCAAAACTGTATGTAATTAGCATTTGGAAGACTGTAATTATAGCCTGGTTGGGCTTTTTTGTAGGTGCTAAAATTGATTTCTTGGCTGAATTATTTTGCAATAGACTTAAACTACTAATTGTTCACCTAAATGAAATTGAGTGTGAACAAATCAAATAACTTTTATTTTACCTTGGATAACAATTTATTGATGCAAATAAAACTCCTTAATTAAATCTGGCATAGCCAGACCTGTGGAGGCCCCACATAAAGGCATTCTGTCACCCAGCTTTAGTGACTATTTTAATTTTAGAATAATGCTCTGCTATTCCTAGAGAGGATTGTGTATCTATTAAGGCCAGCAGGGGTAGTGAGTGTCAGTTCAGTACCTCTTTGAATCGCAGACAGATGTAGGACAGATCTTTTTTGAAAGCAGTGCTGCTCATTTACAAATTTTAATTAAATACATCCAAAATTGATACATACATTACTATTCCTAAAAATAGCCTCTTAATTCAGAAACTGTCAAAGTCCCTCAAAAAGAGAGAAAATGGGTGAAAAATGGAGACACACTTTTATCCTGATCAATACATCTTAGGTACTTGATCAAAGAGAAATAGTTTAGATAAATATATTAGTTTCTTAGGGTTGCCATAATGAAAGTACTTCAAATTGGGTGGCTTAAAACAACAGAAATTTAATTTCTCACAGTTCTGGAGGCTGGAAGTCCAAATCAAGGTGTTGGCATGGCCATGCTCCCTCTGAAATCTGTAGGGGATTGCATGCCTCTGCTAGCTTCTGGTGGTTTGGCATTTCTTGGCTTGCAGCTGCATAACCTCAGTCTCTGCCTCTGTTGTCACATGGCATTCTCCCTCTATGTGTCTCTGTTTTTATGGGGCTGTCTTTCATTCTTTTCTTTTCTTGTTTTTTTTTTGTTGTTGTTGTTTGTTTGTTTTTTGTTTTTGAGACAGAGTCTTGCTCTGTCACCCTGGCTGGAGTGCAGTGGCGTGATCTCAGCTAGCTGCAACCTCTGCCTCCAAGGTTCAGGTGATTCTCCTGCCTCAGCCTCCCAAGTAGCTGGGATTACAGATGCCTGCCACCGTGCCTAACTAATTTTGTTTTTTGTATTTTTAGTAGAGACTGGGTTTCACCATCTTGGCCAGGCTGGTCTCAAACTCCTGACCTTGTGATTTACCCGCCTCAGCCTCCCAAATTGTTGGGATTACAGCCATGAGCCACCGTGCCCGGCCCGTGGCTGTCTTTCTGTAAGGACATCAGTCATGTTAGACCAGGGCCCACCCTACGCCAGTATGGCCTCATCTTAAGTATACATTTGCAACAATCCTGTTTCCTAATGAAGTCAGTTCTGAGGTACCAAGAGTTAAGATTTCAACATCTCTTTCTTGCAGGGGGAGGGGAGTCTGATTCAGCCCCTACCAATAAGAGAAAAAAATATTGTAGCACAGTTTGTAAATCTATTTGATATACACAGTCTGTATATCAAATGGAGTGAAAAACTGCAAATAAGAAATGCTTTATATATTCTCAGCTTCCTTTAATTCTCATTAATCAGTAATAACCTTAAAGTATGTAAAAGTATAACATAAAATGATGGCAGCTTCTTACTGTTCCCAGTGAGATTAGAACAAGAGGAATGAGAATGGAGCTGCAATGAGAAAGCATTAAGGCAATATTCGTCTGTGTCAAAGTGGTGCAGCATTTGCAATATCTTCACAGGGAATTCTGCTCTGGTCTCCTCTGGGATATCCTAGCAAAGTGGCGGGGTCCGGTCTGTTAGAGATGACCAAGTGGAGACGCTCTAGAAGAAAGGTGAGAGGTTAGCTCAGGTTTTCAAACTGTGTTTCATGGAACATTGATGTTTCATAAGGCATATAAGTGGTTCCTGAAAGTGGGGGCAAGAGCAGACATGATTAATATATGCAACTTCTCTCCCTCTATAAATGAAAAAGGACTTATTTCTGCAGTTACCACATATGTCTAGGTTTATCAGACTATTTATTCACTCCAGGGGCTTTTTCCTCTTGAGTCTTTGGCTTGTAACTGAACTATCTTTCCCTAGTGAGGCCTTGAGAAAGTTTCTGGGATTCAAATACCCAGGTTCCTCCGTATGGATGTCGTGATTTCTTTTTATAGTCTAGTGTATGTGTGTGTATACACACACACACACACACACACACACACACAGAGCTGATGCAAGCACATGCCCTCAAAGCAAAGGAAAAAGATAGATGTCTCCCTATGCCTTTCTAAGCTTTTGTATATTATACCTCACATTGTCAGCTCTAAAACCCTATATTACTGGCTTACTGAATGAACTGCACTTGGTAGGTTGAAGTTATCAAATGCCCCCTCATACGTATCATATGCCCACACCCACCTTACTCTTCTGAATTCTTCTCTTCTGACTTTGGGTGGACTCTTGCTTTTCTGGATTATATCACATATTAACAAGTAGTCGCTTTCTTTGCAGGTGCAGCTATTGCCTTAGTTTGGGAACTCCTGAAAGTAGAACATGGGGCAGGACTTGGGAGCAGTTACTTTAAGTGGGAGGAAAATCCTGGAGGCAGGAGTGAGAGAGCAGGGAGGGTGAGACAGGGAAGGAGAGACACTAATAGAATGGTGCATTATTGAGATGGCTGCTGTGTGCAATGGGGGATTGATCCTGCTGTGGCCTCTGAGAAAGGTACAAGAAGCCTCTTGGTGTTTCTCATCTGAGTGATGGGAGGTGGGAACCTTCATCCATAGGCTTGTATCTCCCACTGCTGGAGGATTGCCCCTGGCGTGGTAATGCCCCTGCACTTCTGGGCTGTGTTGATCCTGGGCCAAATGGGCTGAGAAGTCTTCTGAGAAGGCCCTGCAGCAAAACTGGCTCGAGCGTGAGTTTGCATGGAACTACCCACTGCAGCTATGGCTGAAATCAACAGTGGCAAAGGGCATGACATGGTGTGGGGCATCCCGAACATCTCCTGCAGTCTACTTTGCCCTGCTCAGATCTACCCATGCCCTACATGAAGTCAACCCAGTTAGTACATCCTCAAGGTGACAGCAGATCCCACACTTTTAAAAGTATATGTCCTGCTGAATATGGTGGCATGTGCCTATAGTCCCAGCTACTCCAGAGGCTGAGGTGAGAGGATCGCTTGAGCCCAGGAGTTCGAGGCCAGCCTGGGCAACATGAAGTACATGTCCCATGCTAAAGTACCAGCGGATGCAGGCAGTTCTGATTAAGCCAGCTGTAATTAATTCCTCATCTCCCTTCCCCATTACCCATTTTAGATTTCTCCTACTCTTAGTGGCGCCTATGTGATTTAGGTTGTTTACCAGGTGAAGTAACCCAGTAACTTGGTGAGCAGTTCAAGCCCTTTTGTGTGCTTCCATTGCTAGCCCCTGGCTGTGCAACCACTCCACTATTGCTGAGCTTGAAAAACCAAGAGAGGCACCAAGGAATACCCTGTTATGCATATACCCACTCCTGCCTCCATTACCCCCTTCTCTGCCTGCTGGTTGATGAACATTAGCCCAAAGTGACCTGATGGCCTGCACAGCTTTAGGTTTAGTGGAACCACTGCTATATTCTCTAGTGAAAACACTTCTTTTCTAGGAGGACAAGACTTCTAATCTCAGAGCCAGTAATTGGAGGGAAGAGAAGTTCAAATTCCCAAAGTGGGTCACTCAGAGTGATGGTGAGAGGAGTTAATCCTAATTCTACCCTTTGGTTCACAGACTCATGTATTCTAGCCATTGGGGACGTAGTTTCATGCAATGGTCAGTTCAATACCCACCTTGCATCATAGAGGAAGTACCTCCACCCTATAGGGTGTCGTCCCTTAGGTAGCTTAGCTAAGCCTTTAAAAGAGATCTGTCAGGGAGCCTCTTTCAGGGGTGTGGTATGTGGTAGGATGGTAGATCCTGTGGTCCTGCACTCACTCTGATGCCTCCCTCACAGTGAAACAGGTTCCACTAACAGTGGTGATGTCTGCAGGATTTCATGTCAGTACGTCAGGTGCCCTGCACATCTGTGGATAGTGGTGTTCTCAGAGGCACTGCAGCAGAGAAGGAAAAGCAAACTCACATTCAGAATAGAGGTAAATTCTGGTAAAGATGAACTCTGCCCCCTCTAGGTGGAAGTGGTCTGATCTAATACATTTATTTATTTGGTAATAAATAAATAAATAATAAATTTACCAATTGTCTTGGTGAAAAAGAGTCCATGCTGGATGATGGATGAGGCCTTGAATAATGGCCTTCCCTGCCACTATGGCCACTCTCCATTTATTGTACAAGCACTGGGGTGGCTGGGGACAGAGGATGACTGACATCTACCAGCCGGTTCCTCCCATCTACCTGGTTAGTGAGTGTCCCATCTGTGCCGAATCTTCTCTAGTGGCATTGATGTGAGATACAAAGATCTGCACATTTTGCGGCCACTTCCAACAGTTCATCTACATGCTTCTTCCCACACCACTTTGTCTCTGATCATCTAAACTTGCCCCTTCTAAACCCCAGACCAAGACTAGCCAAGTTATTTGCCACTACATGGAAGTCCATGTATATCCTTATCTCATACCACTTCTCCGGGCATGCAAAGTGGACAAACAAGCACACTGCTCACAGCTCTACCCTCTAGGAGAGTTTCCCTTCATCACTGTCCTTTAGGGCCACCAAAGTGGTAGTTTTGACAGCTGTCCACTCTCAGGCAGCATTGATTATCTGAACCAATCCAGCCATGAACCAGGAATGAGCTGTGTTGTTCCTCCTTCATCAGTGAATCATAGAGTTCCTTCACTCCTGCCCCCATATTTATAGATGTGAGCTGAGAGACGTGTCAGGACAGCAGAGGTAGGTGACATGGAGCCCTGGGCCACCCTATACCCTCTGGACTTGCTCAGACCTGGTCCTGAATATACCATTTTCATCAAACCTTACCAACTTGTTAGATCTGACAATGTCCAGTATGTAATAGGAAACTCCTATCATATAATCACTTGATGTCCCACTTTCAGGTGCTTGATCTCTCTTGACCCCTTATCACATCAGAAGCTGTTTTTTTGAGTGGTGAGTAATTAAACAATAAATAGTCTCTTGAATGGAGTAGACGTGGCTTTCTCCAGAACCCTACCCATTCTGTATTGCAAATCTATTAGGGTTTGTCCAAGGTTTCCTGTAGCATCTTTTTCTACCATGGATACCCCAAGCACTGTTGGATCTGTTGAATTATATGGCCTCAACAGCAGAGTACATTGTCCTGAAGCCTAGAATTTCTGCAGTTTTCTTATGCTTTGGGTCCCACTCAAAACTGGTAGACTTCTAATGACCCAATAAATGAGTCAAATAAATAATCTCAAGCGCAATATTGGCTGCCTCCAAAGATCCAAAGTGGCCCACCAAACAATATACCTTTTCATAGGGGTAATCTTTTACCTTAGGATGCTGCAAACCATGGGACTCCTAAAATCTTCACCAATATGGCAGGACTTTGATACTGTAAATGATTTATGTTTCACTTTCATATGTTTTACTATGACATCCAGAGTACCGGCCACTTCCTGTTCACCAAGTCCAATTAACATAATGTCAGCAATATAGTATACCAGCATGGTGTGTCAAGGTGACAGAGAGAAAGAGAATATATATAGCCTTGGGGAAAGACAGTGAATGTGTACTCATATCCTTTCTTAGTAAAGCAGAACTGATCTTGACCAGCCTTCCTGAGGAGGCTTGAAGATGACTTGTTTGCCAGATGGATAGCCACAACCCAGGTACAAAAGGCTGTGCTGATCTGTTCCAGTGAAGATACCACATCCAATTCGGCAGCTACATGCAATTGGGACTACAACTTAGATAATGTTTCAGTAGTCTGCTGTTATTCATGAAAATCCATCTATTTTTTGCAGAGACGGTGTAGATGGATTGAATGGGGATATGATGGGGACGACCACCCCTGCATTTGCTAAGTTCTTGAGCATGGCATCGATCTCAGCCATTCCACTGGAATAGGGTATTGCTTTGATTTGCTATCTTAGGTGGGAATGGGCACTTTCTGGGTTTCCATTTGTTTCTTCCTTCCTGGTTCTTATTTCACAGGTCAGGAAAACAAAACGTGAGGGCTCTACCAGCTGCTCAGTCTATCCTTTCCAATTAAGCACACTGGAACTGAGGAAGTAATGACAGGGTGAGTCCTAACACCCTCATCATCACTACTGAGCCTGCCTTGACAAGAACTCCATTTATCACCTGCCTTCATAATTTCCCATCCTAACTAGCTGTCATCATGGAATTTCACGTTTTGCTGATGTCATTGTAAGGTTAGACCCTGTATACCCTGAAAAGTCTGTATATTTCCATTTTCTTAGTGTAAAGTTACACAGGTCCCTTTGGGGGAAGGTTTGTGGCATTGCAGGGTTTTTTCTCCAAGGGGGCCCAGTCTCCCCTCTAATCACTAGGCCAGGAGCCTGAGAACTGACTCAAATCTGGGAGCTAGGTGAGGGATTATCATTTTTCTTTTTGGCAGCAGACTTCAGATTTCAGCTTACCTTCTCTTAATATTTTTTTTTCTGGTTACACAAGTCAGGAAATATTCATGGTGGGTACTCATCTATCTTTCCTCTAGAAATAGCCTGTGTGTACAGGACCCTGGCTGGCACCTTGGCCTTGCTGCCATATGGTAGTCATATTCATTTTGTGGTAGTCATATTCACTTTGATGGCTGAATGCTGCTACTTGGCCTCTGCTACTCCAAAATATCTTCATCTTCAGTAATGTTAGAGAGGTCAGTTCTGTTGCCGCATTTCCTACTGTGAATCATAGACCATGGAAGACAATCACTAGTAAGATTCCCAACAATGCTGGTGGTCCCTCATGAGTGAGTTTGTTATTTTTATATAAAGGGCATGTCTTCTTGGCCTCACAGGGAACAAGATCAAGGTCTGTGGTCTTACATAATAAATCCTCCCTGGACTGTCTGACTCCTTCCTCAATACCATGCCATGGCAAATATGGCATCTTTCCCTCATTGACTGTGGGCTGTCACCTTGTCCAAGCTTCAAGAAACCTCTGACCAGCATTATTAGGATCGGCACAATTGTGCTCTTGAGGACAGTGAGTTATAGGAGAGTGTCAGTAAACCTTCCCTAGTCACTCTTATGTATAATACCCACACCTCCTGACCCAACACTCTCAAGATCTGCCCCCATATGTGTTTCTCTGACTTCTGCTGCTAAGTATTAGGCCTTTCAACTCTTGATGAGTAAACCAGTCACCAAATACTTGGTGAATAGTTTTCATTTACTGCCTTTGCGTGGGACTTCATTTCCTTCTCTGGGGTTTTGCAGATAATGGACCTTAACTAGTGGGCTGGAGGCAATGAGGGGATGTGAGGATGCATCCTGTGAAGGACAAAAGTCATCTTGTAAGTATTCCCCTCAAGTGAGGACTTCCTGTGGTACCCAGGTAATGGGTGGCTGCTTTCTTCTAGCAAGGGAGAGGGGGCTGCTTCTGTTGCCCCAGAGATCAGGGAAATCCTAGGGTTCAGTGTTCTCAGACTCATCTCGGTGGGAGTGGCAATGACACTTAACTCTAACGGAAGCATTTGGTGTCTATGGTATCTATAGATTATATAAGTTTCCTCCACAGTGTCCTCTGCCATGCTGGACAGAAGTGGGTGGTAAGACGGTATCATTTGGTGGGAAGAGTCAATTTCCTTGGGCAGCAGCAGAAGCTCAGCATAACCATTCATTTAAAGCCAAGAGGGATGCAGGTATTTGATGGTTAAGGTTAGGGGATAATGGGCCGGGCACAGTGGCTCACGCCTGTAGTCCCAGCACTTTGGGAGGCTGAGGTGGGCGGATCATGAGGTCAGGAGATTGAGATCATCTTGGCTAACACGGTGAAACACCATCTCTACTAAAAATACAAAAAATTAGCCAGGCATGGTGGCATGCACCTGTAGTCCCAGCTACTCGGGAGGCTGAGGCAGGAGAATTGCTTGAACCTGGGAGGTGGAGGTTGCAGTGAGCCAAGATCACGCCACTGCACTCCAGCCTCGGCGACAGAGCAAGACTCCATCTCAAAAACAAAAAACAAACAAAAAAAAAGGTTAGGGGATAATAGTTTAGGTGGGTACTGGTCAGGGGGAGAAACGTAGTCAGTGTAGTCAGAGCCATGAAGAACAGTAAAGAAAAGGTGAATGCAAGGTTGCATGACTGTGGAAAAGGCTATGTGAACATGAGCCTCCTCAGCTGTACACTGAAATGCTCAGATGTGCAGCGGCAAATATGACCATGTTATTGAAGATTAAAGAGAGACAGAAGATATCTGCCTCTGACCATTATGGTCTAACTCATATCAGAGAAACAGATAAGCCCTCCTACTGAAAATAACTAGAAAAGCTGAATACAATACAAAAAAACCATTTGAGGAGGTGTAGATAGATATCAAGGCAGTCAGACTTGTGGGACCAACATCTCAGAGAGAAGGGGAAATGTTGATATGAGCCAGACTTTCTTCAGTACTTTTCTTCTTGAGGCATTTGATGATTCCTAAGATGGCGCCAGGTGAGGCTCTGCACAAAGCAGAGAGCCTCAACTAAGGCACAGAGAAACCAAGCAAAGCTCCCCAGAATTTCACAGGACTGTAGAGAAGAAAATTGGGTTTTAAGACTACCAAGGCAAATAAAATGTAAGGAGTCAAGATTCTGGAACAGAAGAAAACACAGTTTTTGTTCACTAGTGTATCCTGCTATATATAGAACTGTGCTTGATACATAATAGATGCTCAATAAATATTTGTTTAAATACACTTTGATGATGCAAAAGAAATCTGAGGATAAATGGGTGACTACAAAAGAGAACCTGAACCAGATTAATTTTTTTTCTCTAGGCCACTAGTGTTTACAAGTTGTATTTAAAGGTATATGCAGATATCAATAAATCTATCCATTCTCAATGGATCTGTTTCCAAATGCCACATTAAGCAATTCCAATCAACCTAGCATTATTATAAGAGCTTTGGCATGAAATAGAACTAGCTTTGCCTTCTCTCTCCACTCTCTCCACTGTTAACCATGCACATGACCCTGATCAAGCTACTGGACCCCTTTGAGTCTCAGTTTTCTTGCCTGTAAAATTGGGATAATAATGTCTACCTGCAGGATTAAATGAAATAAAATGTGTTAACCTTTATTCATTCAGCAATTATTTAGTGAGTACCATGTTCTAGGTGCTTTCATAGGTACTAGGGGAAAATTCATTCATCCTTCACTAGCTATTTATTGAGTTATAGACAATATACTGGTAACTGGGGAAAAAGTCAAGAGTCCCTGCTCTCATGGAGTTTGCATTTTAAAAGAGGGAGACAGCCATATTTTAAGCAAGATAATGGAAGTAAATATTAAATAAATTAGATGGTGTGATGGTTAACGTTTTGGGTCAACTTGACTGGGTTAAGGGGTGCCCAGATAGTTGGTAAGACATTATATTTGGGTGTGTCTGTGAGGGTGTTTGTGGAAGAGATTGGCATTTGAATTGGTAGAAGATTTGCTTTCATCAGTGTGGGCAAGTATCACTCAATCCATTGAGAGACTAAATAGAACAAAAAGGTGGAGGAATGGTGAATTCTTTCTCTCTTCTCTGGTTCTGAGACCTTCAGACTCAGGCTGAATTAGACCACTGGCTTTCCTGGGTCTCTAGCTTACAGATGCCATATCATGGGACTGCTTGGCCTCCATAGTCACGTTAGCCAATTCCCATAATAAATCTTATTTTGTCTCACTCTATATATCCTATTGGTTCTGTTTCTCTGAAGAACTCTGGCTAATACAGATTGTGATAGGTATTTTTGAAAAAAATTCCAAGGGGGGAAGTGGCTGGAGAAGCTGTGTGTGGTATGAGGAAGGGGGAAGTCACAACCTTCTCACTGGGTACAACTCAGCATTGGTGGCCAAGTCCTGCATCCAGAAGCATGCAGTAAAGCCCATGTCTCTGGTGTGCAGCAGGCACACCTTGGCACTCCTTGGGTTATCTCCTGTTGCTGCTGCTGCTGCCACTAAAGGAGAAACATATGAACTTGATGACTCTGTGAGCCTATGTCACGCCTGCTGGATTACTGGTCACAGCTTCAGTTTACCCTGCTAATTCCCAAACATATGCATCCATGTAGACTTGCAGGGGTGCCAGGTATTCAGTCTCACACAGCAGATATTTCTCTTCTACAGCGAAAATGATAACAAAGGCTGGATGTTTACATAATGGCAGAGAATTGTCTTTGTGCCTATTTCTACATCTGCACAATTTGAGAACTTGGGCAGACCCAGGTCTAGAGTGTATACAATGCTCATTTTATGACTGTAGTAGAAGTACAGAGTTTCTAGAAGAGGAAAGAAATCCATTATCTCCCCTAATGGATGTTATAGGGAGTTTCTACTAAATATTGCATAAAATAAACTTAAAACAATTCTCTGTACTGAGTTTATGATGCAGTCTATGGCTCCCACAAGAGAATAAATGATAATGGAGAGAGAAATATTTACCAAACCCAAAAGTAGGAGCCATTTATTTAGCCATTAACTGGGAAATTGGCAATGTTAAAATTATTGTGCTAAAGAAATTCATTTCTTAAACACATAAATATCATGCTCATAATTTAAAGGTTTCATTTTTAACTGTTCATTTAAGGGAAGAGAAGGATTAGTAGACTTTCATTTTAGGTAGACAGGAAAATTTCCATGGACAAAGAGAACTTGGTAAATAGCCTCTATGGACCTCATATAAAAGGAAAGGTTGGATGTTCCTGAGAGGATTTCTTCAAAGAAGCTGTCATTATTTACCGAATAGCTGCAGAAAGCCACAACCCCTTTATGTAACTTGGAATGCCCTCTTCTCTTCTTTGTGGCTGCCTCATCCTTCCGTTCTTTCCTTTAGGGCTAGGTCAGCTCTCACAACCTCCGGGCAGCTGTACCCGAATATCCCGGCACACGCTCTCATCTTTTCTCCACCCACCTGTCCCATGGATTGTCTGAGCTACATGATATACTTCCTCATGTTTTCACACACATGCGTCTTGCCTCTCCTAACAAAGCAAGAAACTGATTCTCAATAGAAAGGGGCAGTGATGCTTCTAATCGGCGTCCACACTCATTCTTGATACTGGGATGGGTACTTCACTTACGTTTAACAATCTGGTATGAATTAAAAACTTAAATATGACCCTAAAACTTTCCCATGCATCTGTTTACCTCGAATGCATGACTGACAGACTCCCTTCTACCTGGAATTGCTTTTGGGAAATAAAATGAAGATTTCTGAATGTTAACTGCCTTCATTATTTGGAGCTTTAAGCTACCAAGTAGCCATAATTACCATTAGGAAAACAGAGAAAATAATAAAGCAATCTAGAAGAGAGTCTCATTTTGACAGACCTAGGGTTAGGAAGGTGGGGAGGGTGATCACATTTAAATGAATTATTTTTTCTTGGTTAAAAAGCAATGCATATTCATGTTGGGAAAAGTAGAAATTAAATATAGGCAAAAGAAGAAAATAAAACCACTGACAATCCTACTCCAGAAGAAAGCACTATTTGCATTTCAGTTGATATCCTTCAGGTCTTTCTTAGTTGTATGTATTTTCCTACATATGTATTTTTCTTTCCAAAAATAGAATCATTCTGAAAACACTATTTTATAACATGCTTTTCCACTTCGAAATGTATTCTGCATATTTTCTCATGTCATTGAATTTTCTCTTGTGCATCCTTCAGAATGGCCGACTCTTCTTGACATCTGTTCTTTCGTCACATCCTGTATCCAATATGGCAGCAAATCCTGTTGGCTCTGCTTCTGGAATACAGCTGGAAGTTGGCCACTTGTTCAACCCTAGTCCAAGGCAACATTATCTTATGCGTTAAGAGTTTCCTGGCAGGTCTCTTCCTTTCTGACCTTGTTACTTGATGTCTGTCTTCAGCATGGTAGTCATGGATCTTTAGAAACCTTGGTTAGATCTTGTTACTCCTCAGCCTTCTCTGTCCCTCAGCTGGTGCCCCTTGTTCAGAGAGAACTCTGAAGACCTCAGTGTGGTCCACTAGGCCCCAAGGCATCTGGCTGACTCTTATCTACTGCTCTTTCCCCCTTGCTCACTCCACGTCAGCTGTGGTGCTTTCCTTGCTATTCCTTGAATACGCATGGAGTCTTAGGGCCATGCATTTGCTATTTTCTACAACACTCTTTAAACACTCTCTGCCCACAGCTTGCTCCCTTGCCTTCTTCAGGTTTTTACTTAATGTCACCTTTTCAATGAGGCCTTACCTGACCACTCTATTTAATAGCTTCCCACTCCTCCACAACCCCTCCTCATGCACGTTTTCCATTCTCCTGCCCTGTTTTATGTCAGCACCCTCCTATGTGCCACAGACTGCACTTCTATGAAAAGTGTGTGGTGCTTGCAGTCTTTATTTCCCACCAGCATGCAGGCGTCACAAGGGAAGGATTCCTGTCTGTTGTGTCCACTGCATCTCTCACATTTCCAGAACAGTGCATGGTACAGAGTAAGCACTTGATAAACATTTTCTGAATGAAGGAATAGCCTGCCACATTTTGATAAATCATAGTATATTTAACCAGCCCTGATGTTGGGCATCTGATTGTACTCAATTTTTCTTTACTATTGTAGATAATGCTGTAGTGAACTTCTATTCATCCACTAAACCTTTTCTGCATACACAACTTATTTCATTAGAACAAATTTGCAGAATAGGGGATACATTTTTAAGGCCAATTTACTTTCTTTTTTTATTATACTTTAAGTTTTAGGGTACATGTGCACATTGTGCAGGTTACATATGTATACATGTGTCATGCTGGTGCACTGCACCCACTAACTCGTCATCTAGCATTAGGCATATCTCCCAGTGCTATCCCTCCCCCCTCCCCCCACCCCACAACAGTCCCCAGAGTGTGATATTCCCCTTCCTGTGTCCATGTGATCTCATTGTTCAATTCCCACCTATGAGTGAGAATATGCGGTGTTTGGTTTTTTGTTCTTGCGATAGTTTACTGAGAGTGATGTTTTCCAATTTCATCCATGTCCCTACAAAGGACATGAACTCATCATTTTTTATGGCTACATAGTATTCCGTGGTGTATATGTGCCACATTTTCTTAATCCAGTCTATCATTGTTGGACATTTGGGTTGGTTCCAAGTCTTTGCTATTGTGAATAATGCCGCAGTAAACATACGTGTGCATGTGTCTTTATAGCAGCATGATTTATAATCCTTTGGGTATATACCCAGTAATGGGATGGCTGGGTTAAATGGTATTTCCAGTTCTAGATCCCTGAGGAATCGCCACACTGACTTCCACAATGGTTGAACTAGTTTACAGTCCCACCAATAGTGTAAAAGTGTTCCTATTTCTCCACATCCTCTCCAGCACCTGTTGTTTCCTGACTTTTTAATGATCGCCATTCTAACTGGTGTGAGATGGTATCTCACTGTGATTTTGATTTGCATTTCTCTGATAGCCAGCGATGATGAGCATTTTTTCATGTGTCTTTTGGCTGCATAAATGTCTTCTTTTGAGAAGTGTCTGTTCATATCCTTCACCCACTTGTTGATGGGGTTGTTTGTTTTTTTCTTGTAAATTTATCTGAGTTCATTGTAGATTCTGGATATTAGCCCTTTGTCAGATAGGTAGATTGCACATTTTCTCCCATTCTGTAGGTTGCCTGTTCACTCTGATGGTAGTTTCTTTTGCTGTGCAGAAGCTCTTGAGTTTCATTAGATCCCATTTGTCTATGTTGGCTTTTGTTGCCATTGCTTTTGGTGTTTTAGACATGAAGTCCTTGCCCATGCCTATGTCCTGAATGGTAATACCTAGGTTTTCTTCTAGGGTTTTTATGGTTTTAGGTCTAACGTTTAAGTCTTTAATCCATCTCGCATTAATTTTTGTATAAGGTGTAAGGAAGGGATCCAGTTTCAGCTTTCTACATATGGCTAGCCAGTTTTCCCAGCACCATTTATTAAATAGGGAATCCTTTCCCCATTGCTTGTTTTTCTCAGGTTTGTCAAATATCAGATAGTTGTAGATATGCGGCATTATTTTTGAGGGCTCTGTTCTGTTCCATTGATCTATATCTCTGTTTTGGTACCAGTACCATGCTGTTTTGGTTACTGTAGCCTTGTAGTATAGTCTGAAGTCAGGTAGTGTGATGCCTCCAGCTTTGTTCTTTTGGCTTAGGATTGACTTGGTGATGCGGGCTCTTTTTTGGTTCCATATGAACTTTAAAGTAGTTTTTTCCAATTCTGTGAAGAAAGGCATTGGTAGCTTGATGGGGATGGCATTGAATCTGTAAATTACCTTGGGCAGTATGGCCATTTTCACGATATTGATTCTTCCTACCCATGAGCATGGAATGTTCTTCCATTTGTTTGTATCCTCTTTTATTTCCTTGAGCAGTGGTTTGTAGTTCTCCTTGAAGAGGTCCTTCACATCCCTTGTAAGTTGGATTCCTAGGTATTTTATTCTCTTTTTAGCAATTGTGAATAGGAGTTCACTCATGATTTGGCTCTCTGTTTGTCTGTTGTTGGTGTATAAGAATGTTTGTGATTTTTGTACATTGATTTTGTATCCTGAGACTTTGCTGAAGTTGCTTATCAGCTTAAGGAGCTTTTGGGCTGAGACAATGGGGTTTTCTAGATATACAATCATGTCATCTGCAAACAGGGACAATTTGACTTCCTCTTTTCCTAATTGAATACCCTTTATTTCCTTCTCCTGCCTAATTGCCCTGGCCAGAACTTCCAACACTATGTTGAATAGGAGTGGTGAGAGAGGGCATCCCTGTCTTGTGCCAGTTTTCAAAGGGAATGCTTCCAGTTTTGGCCCATTCAGTATGATATTGGCTGTGGGTTTGTCATAGATAGCTCTTATTATTTTGAGATATGTCCCATCAATACCTAATTTATTGAGAGTTTTTAGCATGAAGGGTTGTTGAATTTTGTCAAAGGCCTTTTCTGCATCTATTGAGATAATCATGTGGTTTTTGTCTTTGGTTCTGTTTATATGCTGGATTACATTTATTGATTTGCGTATATTGAACCAGCCTTGCATCCCAGGGATGAAGCCCACTTGATCATGGTGGATAAGCTTTTTGATGTGCTGCTGGATTCGGTTTGCCAGTATTTTATTGAGGATTTTTGCATCAATGTTCATCAAGGATATTGGTCTAAAATTCTCTTTTTTTGTTGTGTCTCTACCCGGCTTTGGTATCAGGATGATGCTGGCCTCATAAAATGAGTTAGGGAGGATTCCCTCTTTTTCTATTGATTGGAATAGTTTCAGAAGGAATGGTACCAGTTCCTCCTTGTACCTCTGGTAGAATTCAGCTGTGAATCCATCTGGTCCTGGACTCTTTTTGGTTGGTAAGCTATTGATTATTGCCACAATTTCAGATCCTGTTATTGGTCTATTCAGAGATTCAACTTCTTCCTGGTTTAGTCTTGGGAGAGTGTATGTGTCGAGGAATTTATCCATTTCTTCTAGATTTTCTAGTTTATTTGTGTAGAGGTGTTTGTAGTATTCTCTGATGGTAGTTTGTATTTCTGTGGGATCGGTGGTGATATCCCCTTTATCATTTTTTATTGCGTGTATTAGATTTTTCTCTCTTTTTTTCTTTATTAGTCTTGCTAGCAGTCTATCAATTTTGTTGATCCTTTCAAAAAACCAGCTCCTGGATTCATTAATTTTTTGAAGGGTTTTTTGTGTCTGTATTTCCTTCAGTTCTGCTCTGATTTTAGTTATTTCTTGCCTTCTGCTAGCTTTTGAATGTGTTTGCTCTTGCTTTTCTAGTTCTTTTAATTGTGATGTTAGGGTGTCAATTTTGGATCTTTCCTGCTTTCTCTTGTGGGCATTTAGTGCTATAAATTTCCCTCTACACACTGCTTTGAATGTGTTCCAGAGATTCTGGTATGTTGTGTCTTTGTTCTCGTTGGTTTCAAAGAACATCTTTATTTCTGCCTTCATTTCGTTATGTCCCCAGTAGTCATTCAGGAGCAGGTTGTTCAGTTTCCATGTAGTTGAGCGGTTTTGAGTGAGATTCTTAATCCTGAGTTCTAGTTTGATTGCACTGTGGTCTGAGAGTTTGTTATAATTTCTGTTCTTTTACATTTGCTGAGGAGAGCTTTACTTCCAAGTATGTGGTCAATTTTGGAATAGGTGTGGTGTGGTGCTGAAAAAAATGTATATTCTGTTGATTTGGGGTGGAGAGTTCTGTAGATGTCTATTAGGTCCGCTTGGTGCAGAGCTGAGTTCAATTCCTGGGTATCCTTGTTGACTTTCTGTCTCGTTGATCTGTCTAATGTTGACAGTGGGGTGTTAAAGTCTCCCATTATTAATGTGTGGGAATCTAAGTCTCTTTGTAGGTCTCTAAGAACTTGCTTTATGAATCTTGGTGCTCCTGTATTGGGTGCATATATATTTAGGATAGTTAGCTCTTCTTGTTGAATTGATCCCTTTACCATTATGTAATGGCCTTCTTTGTCTCTTTTGATCTTTGTTGGTTTAAAGTCTGTTTTATTAGAGACTAGGATTGCAACCCCTGCCTTTTTTTGTTTTCCATTTGCTTGGTAGATCTTCCTCCATCCTTTTATTTTGAGCCTATGTGTGTCTCTGCAGGTGAGATGGGTTTCCTGAATACAGCACACTGATGGGTCTTGACTCTTTATCCAATTTGCCAGTCTGTGTCTTTTAATTGGAGCATTTAGTCCATTTACATTTAAAGTTAATATTGTTATGTGTGAATTTAATCCTGTCATTATGATGTTAGCTCGTTATTTTGCTCGTTAGTTGCTGCAGTTTCTTCCTAGTCTCGATGGTCTTTACATTTTGGCATGATTTTGTAGCAGCTGGTACTGGTTGTTCCTTTCCATGTTTAGCGCTTCCTTCAGGAGCTCTTTTAGGGCAGGCCTGGTGGTGACAAACTCTCTCAGCATTTGCTTGTCTGTAAAGTATTTTATTTCTCCTTTGCTTATGAAGCTTAGTTTGGCTGGATATGAAATTCTGGGTTGAAAATTCTTTTCTTTAAGAATGTTGAATATTGGCCCCCACTCTCTTCTGGCTTGTAAATTCTTTTCTTTAAGAATGTTGAATATTGGCCCCCACTCTCTTCTGGCTTGTAGGGTTTCTGCCAAGAGATCTGCTGTTAGTCTGATGGGCTTCCCTTTGAGGGTAACCCAACCTTTCTCTCTGGCTGCCCTTAACATTTTTTCCTTCATTTCAGCTTTGGTGAATCTGACAATTATGTGTCTTGGAGTTGCTCATCTCGAGGAGTATCTTTGTGGTGTTCTCTGTATTTCCTGAATCTGAACGTTGGCCTGCCTTGCTAGATTGGGGAAGTTCTCCTGGATAATATCCTGCAGAGTGTTTTCCAACTTGGTTCCATTCTCCCTGTCACTTTCAGGTACACCAATCAGACGTAGATTTGGTCTTTTCACATAATCCCATATTTCTTGGAGGCTTTGCTCATTTCTTTTTATTCTTTTTTCTCTAAACTTCCCTTCTCGCTTCATTTCATTCATTTCATCTTCCATCGCTGATACCCTTTCTTCCAGTTGATCGCATTGGCTCCTGAGGCTTCTGCATTCTTCACGTAGTTCTCGAGCCTTGGTTTTCAGCTCCATCAGCTCCTTTAAGCACTTCTCTGTATTGGTTATTCTAGTTATACATTCTTCTAAATTTTTTTCAAAGTTTTCAACTTCTTTGCCTTTGGTTTGAATGTCCTCCCGTAGCTCAGAGTAATTTGATCATCTGAAGCCTTCTTCTCTCAGCTCGTCAAAGTCATTCTCCATCCAGCTTTGTTCCGTTGCTGGTGAGGAACTGCATTCCTTTGGAGGAGGAGAGGCGGTCTGCTTTTTAGAGTTTCCAGTTTTTCTGTTCTGTTTTTTCCCCATCTTTGTGGTTTTATCTACTTTTGGTCTTTGATGATGGTGATGTACAGATGGGTTTTTGGTGTGGATGTCCTTTCTGTTTGTCAGTTTTCCTTCTAACAGACAGGACACTCAGCTGCAGGTCTGTTGGAGTACCCTGCCGTGTGAGGTGTCTGTGTGCCCCTGCTGGGGGGTGCCTCCCAGTTAGGCTGCTCGGGGGTCAGGGGTCAGGGACCCACTTGAGGAGGCAGTCTGCCCGTTCTCAGATCTCCAGCTGCGTGCTGGGAGAACCAGTGCTCTCTTCAAAGCTGTCAGACAGGGACATTTAAGTCTGCACAGGTTACTGCTGTCTTTTTGTTTGTCTGTGCCCTGCCCCCAGAGGTGGAGCCTACAGAGGCAGGCAGGCCTCCTTGAGCTGTGGTGGGCTCCGCCCAGTTCGAGCTTCCCGGCTGCTTTGTTTACCTAAGTAAGCCTGGGCAATGGCGGGCGCCCCTCCCCCAGCCTCGCTGCCGCCTTGCAGTTTGATCTCAGACTGCTGTGCTAGCAATCAGCGAGACTCCGTGGGCGTAGGACCCTCCGAGCCAGGTGCCGGATATAATCTCGTGGTGCGCTGTTTTTTTTTGTTTTGTTTTTTTTTTTGTTTGTTTTTTTTTGAGACGGAGTCTCGCTCTGTCGCCCAGGCCGGACTGCGGACTGCAGTGGCGCAATCTCGGCTCACTGCAAGCTCCGCTTCCCGGGTTCACGCCATTCTCCTGCCTCAGCCTCCCGAGTAGCTGGGACTACAGGCGGTGCGCCGTTTTTTAAGCCCGTCGGAAAAGCGCAGTATTCGGGTGGGAGTGACCCGATTTTCCAGGTGCCGTCCGTCACCCCTTTCTTTGACTCGGAAAGGGAACTCCCTGACCCCTTGCGCTTCCCGAGTGAGGCAGTGCCTCGCCCTGCTTCGGCTCGCACACGGTGCGCGCACCCACTGACCTGCGCCCGCTCTCTGGCACTCCCTAGTGAGATGAACCCGGTACCTCAGATGGAAATGCAGAAATCACCGTCTTCTGCGTCGCTCACGCTGGGAGCTGTAGACCGGAGCTGTTCCTATTCGGCCATCTTGGCTCCTCCAGGCCAATTTACTTTCAAAAATACCTGCATCCAGGAACTCTCATGCTAGCAGGATGAGGTAATGACTATTTCCCATACTCGTGTCAACTTTGAGCAATGCTAGGAATTTCCATATGTCCAAACAACTGTTTATCAGGAAATGCAACAAGGTACTTTTGACACTGAGCGTGAAAGGAACTCATTGAACCAAAATCTTCCAAAAAGACTGGAACATAAGAGAGCGGATGAAGAGCATAATAGAAGAGAAGTGCCAGGGAGGAGGATTATCTTAGGCAGAGCACACTGAGGATGGAGAGTTACCAGCCCTCCCGAGCTGTCGTTGGCACTGAACCAATGAGAGCCATTCATGTGCCTGTCTGTGCCTTGTGTTTTTCTTCTTCAACATATACTTTAGAACATCCATTCTGTGCAAAGCTCTGTGCCCACAGCTGTTGAGATGCCAGATGCATGCTGTTCCCTGCCCTGAAGACCCCAGCAGTCAGGCCAGGGAGAGAAGACATTCTTAGACAACCCAACAGTCGTCCCTGGGGAAAGGTGAGTGGTGCCCGATGAGGGATTGAATAAGAGAAGACATCACCATGGGCTACAGTGGTCAGGAAAGGCTTTGGAATAGAACAGCAAATCTTTATGGAGCGTTTACTGGGTACCACGCAGTGTTTTAAGCACTTTCTGAATCACTGAATATTCACAGTAACCCATATTAGGTAGGCACTAATAGTACCTACAATTTACCAATGAGAAAATTGAGGCACAAGAGTTGAAATACCTTGCACCAGGTTGCGGAGGTGGTGGTAAATGGGGGAGTCAAGCAGATGGGTTCTGGATTCCTTATTAACCGTGATTCTATGCAGCCTTCACATTTAAGTTACTATCAACGTGTAACAAATCACTATGACCATAGTTGCATAAAGCAACTGTTTTATTATGCTCCCAAATTCTGTGGGTCAGGAATTTGGATAGAACACATCAGGGACAGCTTGGCTCTGCTCCACGTCTGGGGCCTTGACTGGGTGCATGAACACCGGGGGTTGACTCAATATGACCGGAATCACCTGGAG
Organism: Homo sapiens; assembly: GCF_000001405.40. Lineage (NCBI taxonomy): Eukaryota > Metazoa > Chordata > Mammalia > Primates > Hominidae > Homo > Homo sapiens. The sequence continues at coordinate 5,893,472 of NC_000006.12, forward strand.
GCATCCATGTGTCCAGTAGATGATACTGGCTGTCAGCTGGGACCTCAGCTGTGGCTGCAGCTGGAACACCCATACGTGGCCTCTCCAGGTGGCCTGGGCTTCTACACAGCATGGTGGCCTCAGAGCAGTCAGACTTCATACACTATGGCTTAAGGCTCTAAAGGCAAGTGTCCCAGCAAACAAAGAGGAAGCAGCATTGCCTTTCCTGAGCTAACCCTGGAAGTCCCACAGTCTCAAGCCCACTCAGATTTAACAGGAGGGGATACAGACCCCTCCCTCCACCCAAACTCTCGATGGGAGGAATGTCAAAGAATTTGCAGCCATTTTTTTGGTAATAGACTTTACTTTTAAGAGCAGTTTTAGGTTTACAGCAAAATTGGTTAGAAGGTACAGAACTTTCCCATATATCATATTGCCTGCCTTCCACGGCAGTCTTTTTTTTTTCCTTTTTTTTTTTTTTTTTTTTTGGAGTCTCGCTCTGTTGCCAGGCTGGAGGGCAGTGGTGCGATCTTGGCTCACTGCAACCTCCGCCTCCTGGGTCCAAGCAATTCTCCTGTCTCAGCCTCCCGGGTAGCTGGGACTACAGGCACACGCCACCATGGCTGGCTAATTTTTTTGTATTTTTAGTAAAGATGAGGTTTTACCATGTTTGTCAGGATGGTCTTGATCTCTTGACCTCGTGATCTGCCTGCCTCAGCCTCCCAAAGTGCTGAGATTACAGGCGTGAGCCACCGTGGTCTGGCGTGGTACTTTTTTGTAGGAAGGGCTCTCTTCCTTGTATTTCCATATGGCAAGGTCACTTTGCTTGTCGTCAGATGGAGTATTATAAAATAAAGCCAAACTCGTCTATTTGTGCTTACACTGGCCTTTCAGATTAAACAAATCCTTAATATTGGCAAAGGGCCTGACAAGCCTTTAGTATTAATTAATTCTTGGAAGTCTCTGGGGAGAAGGTAAGTATTCTTGGGAACTGACAAAATGAATTGTTTCATTAAGCAGGTAAACCATTCCTCTAAGCCCTGTGCCAACTTCTGACCTGTGAGTTCTCTTTGTATCAGGCTGGCCAGGGGCCCTCAGGCCATGCCAAGCTTGTAGGCAGAGCTGGACGAGGGCACGATGGGTCACGTGCGTGTGTCTCTTTTCTTTACTGTTCACTGCCAGGCTCTCTCCAGGCTTTTCAAATTCCAGGCTTTCCCTACTTTGTAAGTGAATTTGACCAGCATTTTCCTCCCAAAGTCACAGTTGAGTGTTCAAAATGAGGATCCACTGGTGTCTGTTGCTGATGTGGCATAAAGGCTGCTTGAGTGGAAGGAACATCTGTCCTTGATAGGCTTCTACTATTTTCCAGTAACTTATTTTAAAAATTTACATCATTACTTTACACATGGGAAGGCTGTGTTTGCTTTCTTCTCTCTGCTCTTTCTCACCCCATACCCAATAGGCCCAATATCCCTCAATCTAGAAATAGTCTGGAGGTGTGGGTGCCCAATCACAAGTCATCCAGATTTTCACTGCCCATCGAATGTGCAAAGAATTGGGATTCTTGCCTGATATCCTTGTCATGTGTTGTGTACTTATCCTTATTGTCATTCTTCGGACTGGTTATGGAGTTTATGGCTAAGGGGAGTATAGACCCTCACCCTCCTAACCCACTTGCTTGCAGCAGCTTTTTCTGCAGGTGTGTCTGTCTTGGTCACTGGGCTGGATGCCTGCCTATTAAGCAGGGGCCTCCTCTTAGCTACTTTCTTCTCCTGATCAAGGCTTTGCTCATGACTGATGCCCAGCATTGGATCAGGGCTTTGCTCATGACTGATGCCCAGCATTGGATCAGGGCTTTGCTCATGACTGATTCTCAACATCGTAGACATGACTTAATTTGCCAATGTTCAGTTCTCTTCTAACTTTGGATTACAGTTCTGCATGCCCTTGAATTCAGGACAGGTGGGGTGATGGGTTCTAGACGATGACATGAGGATAGACGTGATGTGTGTGCCTTCTGGGATAAGGCGTTTATTTGCCAGAACTTGCCTTATTGGCCCTTCCCTTTCCTGCCATGGGGAACACTGAAGCCTCACATAGAGATGGCTCTGTCATAAGATGTTGTGGTAATTTTGTGGAGAAGACCTCCCTCCCCACCACCAACCCATGATGGGCATGTTGCATGAGGGAGAAATAGCCTCTCAGTGTGTTCAGCCTCCGAGATTTTGGTGGTGTTTGTTGCTATAGCCTATCCTAGCTTATGGGTTGGCAAACTATGGCCCATGGGTCAAATCTGGTCATTCACTTGTTTTTGCAAATGAAGTTTTATTGGGACACAGCCATACCCATTCACTTATATATTGTCTACACCTGCTTTCACACAGCAATGACAGCAATGAACAGTTGTGACAGATGCTGCATGGTCTAGAAAGTAGAAAATTGTACTATTTGGCCCTACAGAGAGAAGGTTTGCTGATGCCCACCTATCCTGACTGATACACTCGATAAAAGTCTCTTGAATTATTAAATTGACAATGAAAAGGTAGAAGCCCAAAGCTGATGCTAAAATAATGTGAGATAACTTTGCACGATAATCAACGCAGCTTAATTGGCAAGCATTGATTAAGCGCCAGTTATGTGTCAGACTTGGGGGAAATGATTTTTCCTTGGGGTCCTAGGGGTTTGGGGATGGCAGGAGGTGTTGCTGTCCTTCTTAAGTTTGGGAAGTAAAGACTTGAGGTGCGAAGGAGGATGTGACAAGAGGATTCAAACCCCAAGGATTCTGCATGAACTGAGGGATTTATCACCACTGTCTCCATCGAAGTCCATTCATTCACCAAACATGCTGTGAGCTGTTGTCATTTACTATGTATGGTGTTAGCTGAATAGATGGCACAAAGGATTATTAGGCAATTACAATATAGTGTGATGGGTGTTAGGATTGGAGTGTGCAAGACACTGGGGAAGGATATACCCTTGATAGAGCCAAAATGGCAACTGGTGTAATTCCCTGAGACTGAAGCCAGGTGAAGGCTGAGAATTGCTTGTTGGCCAACTGTAGTACTTAGGGATTTTCTTCCCTAGGGAGAAAGCCCTGGAACAATCTCTTTACACCCTAGATTTGCACAGCAGTTCTCAGATCCTTGCTTTAGGCAGAGCCCCACTGCTAAGTCTTGTAACACAAAAGAGCTTTGCCTATGCACAGCTTTCTCTGGTTCTTTTTATCCTATCCTCCCCTGACAGGCAGCCTGGAAAGAAGCATCCTATTGATCATGACAGCACAATTGGAACTTGTGGATTTTTTTTTTTTTTTTTTTTTACTCCAGGGTCGGGAGGAAGAGGCTGGTGGCGTCCCTTCCTCTAGGGTGGGAGGTAATGAGCGGTAGATACCCACGCACTGACACGATCATCAGCGTGGATGCTGCAGTCTGCAGTTTTATGTGAAGTTCGCCTTCCCCACATTTGTACCTCCAACAAATTGATTTGGTACCCAGTTTGAGCCATCATCTTATTTCAAGTTTGGTTACCTAGGAAACCGAGGGCACACTGCTGGGACAGTCTGCCTGTGTTCTGTGCCGACCGAAGCTATTAAAGCCCATCAACTTGGCCTCCGAGAAGCACTGAACACAGACAGTTTCAACTTCCAGCCAGGTTCTTATTTATTTATTTTACTGCCTCAGCAGCAAAATGAGTTATTGAACCATTCAGCCTATTGATTGGGGCAGCTTTTCCCCTGCATTTCTCGGACACCTGAAGCCCCTCTGGAACTGGTGGCAGCCCAGAGGTCTTTTGTTAATGGTGAGTTCTCACCAGGGAAGCCAGGCAGCATCAATCCTCCAGCCAGCAGGGCCTGGGGCCTGGGCTGTGGTCAGGCACAGCACCCCACAATGGTGGTTCTTGCAAAGTCTTTGAATTTGTGAAGAAAATGATACTCGGGCCCTCTTGCAGGGAAACACACACACACATACACACACACACACACACACACACACACACACACACACACACACACAGAGAGAGAGAGAGAGAGAGAGAGCTTTGGATGCAATATAGTCGGGGAGCCGGACTCCCAGGCTAAAAACATTTGATCGAAGTTTATTCTGTTTGGAACTAGTTTCTTAGTTTTGAAAAAAAAGTAAATAAACCTCATATGTGCCCAGGATTTGACAATCTACAGTCCTAGGAACTTCCTGACCCAAAGGAAAATTACATTTCACTTCTTCTTCCTGAGAGACCTCACAGCCCCCTTGGACATTTCAGGCCTTCTCTAAGAATGGTGAACTCGACAGAGACCATACCATAATGTCTTCAGCCTGTTGGATATTGCACAGTCTGTGAACTAAGAATGGTTTTTAGATTTTTAAGTATAAAAAAGATGATTAGCCTTTTGGGGGAGGAGGGCGGTTGCTTGAGGAGTTGAAGATGTTGCTTCTTGGCTTGAAAAGCCTAAAATATTTGTTGTCTGGCCCTGTACAGAAGTTTGCCAGCCCCTAGGTACTTCTGTGCTGGCAGAGGGGCAGTATGTTCAGAGGCTTCCAGTTGGCTTTTTCCACTATGGTAGCTCTTACCCCACAGAGCAAGGACACAGTGTGTGGGTCCTGGGCACCTGTCAAGTCTGTCTATCCCAAGTATATGTTCAAAGACCAGGGAAATGACTGCCAGGAGGGGTCTATGGGCCCAGTGGATCCACTATGAGCAGGACCTGGGCCAAGACTCCATTTATTACATGGTCCCCATATGTTCTGAATCTAGGGTAGAGGGCAGCATTGCTTTGTGTCTCTATGATGTCAGCTTAGACTCTGTGTCCAGCAGTTTTCAAAATGTTTGGGTACTTGCCTTTCCTCAGTGTACAGTTATCCAAGTAAATGTCCCTTTGAGGAAGACTGGATGAATCATTACCATGTTTACTTGCCATGGTGTTGCAGGCACTGCCCTCCCTCCTCCTGCCCTCCCTCCCTTCCTTCTGGGAACCCAGACTCTCCTTCAGTCAGTGGGTTCTGGATCCAAAATGTGGATCAGAAAGGATGGTTTCGGGGGCACAGCTCTTGGCCTCCAGTCCACCCACCTTGATTTCTTTGACTGCACAGATGCAATGCTATCCTTACTGGCTGCCCATTTATTTTGCCCCGCAGGGCACTGTGTTTTATAAATTCTTTCCCTCACTCCCTGTGGGTCAGGCCCCAGCTTCTTGCCACTCGCTGTGATGATTGTCTCCCACAGATGGGGTCACGCTGTGAAGTGTCCTTGGGTGCTTCAAGGTCCCTCTACCTGTCAGTGGTAGGTAGTGCGTCCCTCTACCCTTCATTGAGCCCAGCTCTGGGGCAGCGTCTCCTGCAGAGCCACCACCGGCCTCCTGAGTGAAGCTGGTGCCCTCTCCCCAGCACGTCCCTTAGCGCTTGGTGAACACTGTGTCCCCTGGTCTTTTCCATGGAATGCATCCCACTGCTGGGTTTCCCAGCCTCATGGAGCAATACACTTGAGCATGCACATGCCTCTGAGCCTTTCTTCCCTTCCTCCACCTTCTGCTGCTGAAATTCTGGCATATCCGCCTCACCCAGTGCAGCTGTCACTATCCCACGTTATTTGGGGCCATCCTCATAGTATATCTACACCTGGGATTCTTACCTGGGTGTTCCATCCTGAATCCAGAAAGAGTACACCCAAATCAATAACATTTCCTTGGCATTTTCCATTACTGATTATTTCCAAACCAATAACATTTCCTGGTAGCTGTTACCCCATAGGCCAAGGACCATGTTCCAAACCTCATGCTCTGCCTCCCATCCAGCACCCTCAGGACCCAGCCCACCCATACCCTTTCCTGTCTTGCTGCACCACCTGGCTGGGTCCTGCAACTCCTTCAAGGCACAGTCCCTTTACCCCTTTTCAGGCCCAGCATGGCCCTGGCTGGGTTATGTTGTGACTCACCCCTAGTTCTAGGACTTGTGGCCAGTGGGCAACAGGGGTTGGATCCTGAGGCGGGGGCACATGCTTTGTGGGGAGACACCTCTGTACCGTCTTCAAGTAAGGGGTTGGTAGGGAGAGTCCACTTCTGTCAGCCTAATCTGGGCCTTCAAGGTCTTCAGAAACATCTACCCAGATGCCGTCATTGTGTGTGTCAGGGTTCCATTCTCTCCCATGCACGGCCCTGGCCCTGGCACAGCAACCTTACCTTGTTAAAAGTGTGACCCTCTCTGAAACTCAGCTGCTCTCCAGATGAAGTTCTTTGTCTGGTGTACAGCCTTCTCTGCCCTCCCACTTCAGGAGATTTGAGCCTTTTTATAGGCTTCCAGGAAGTCCTCTAGCTTTCAAAACTATCTCTTAGTTGCTGGTTAATCACACTCAGCTTTTTGTTTTCTTTTTCCAGAAGTCAGTCAGTTTCAGTAGTAGCCACCCAATTCTGTTGTCCTTATATCATAGTAATAATTTCTCTCATATTTCTCAGATGCCTGCTGCATTGCACCAGCTAATGTATTCCCTACCACTGATGTGCAATCCTGTCTCACCACTGGTTGAATTTCCAACAATTGTCCTTTCATCTTGGGCCAGCAGCTCTCTGGCCTCCACTTCCCACTAGCAATGGGGTTTTCATCATCAGTTTGCTGGTAGGTGACCAGCTCCAATAACCTATCTTATGTCTGCTTTCTCGGACGATATCTGGCACCAACTGTCACATGGGTTCCCTGGGAGGCAGACTCTGAGATGGAGAGTATCATGTAAGATGTTTATTAGGAAGTGTTCTGAGGAGTCATACCTAGGGAAGCAGGAGGAAGGAGGCAGAACTGGGCAGAGGAAGAAGTCAAGCTATGATGCAGCTCCAACTAAGGCCCCAGCTGACAGCCCCCACTAGGAGCTCTAGAGCTGGAAAAACCTTTAGTGCCATCCCTGCTGGAGTCTTTTGTGACCCTCCATCATTGGGTGTGAGCCACCCTGGAAAGGGTGAGTAACTTTGTTGAAGAAGGAGGCTCGTTTTAGCTTAGGCGCTTTGACATCTGAGGGCTGTCATCTGGCAGCACTTCCAGAAGCTGGGGGAATAGTCATTCATTCCTGGAGGAGTTCTGGGCAACACACTACAGTATCCACTACCTGCTCTGCCATCCCAGTCTGTCTAACAGCTGTGGCCTTGGATAAAGCCTTTAATCTTTCTGATCCTCAAATTCTCTTACATAAAAAAAAGATTTAAATTAACATATGCCCATTTCAGAAAATTATAGAAAATATAGTAATGTAGAAAGAAGAGAGTCTCCTGTAGTCTCAGTACCCAGAGATAGATGTCCCCACCCTGAAGTGTGTTTCTTGTATTTTTGCTCCACTTAATATAGTGGTAACCAAGTGCGATGTTGAATTTTGTGTTCTCATTTTCACTTAACATTGTGAAATCAGCATTATCAGAAACTTCTAGTAAACACTGATGTTAAAGGTAAATTCTTTCTGATTAAAAAAATAATGGCTAGTCGTAAGAGAACATTATGGAAAAATTATACATTATCTCTCTTTAGAAATAACCATGACTAAAATTTTGTTACACAGCTCTCCAGTTTTACTGTGTGTGTTTATAAATAAAATTAGGGAATGTTTTCTAAGATTCTAATGTTATTGTTTCAATCTATTTTTTTGCTTTATAGCTTGAACATCCCTCTGACATATTACATATTTGTCTATACCATATACAACCACTTTAATAACTGTATAATATTCTATTGCATAAAAAGATATGGAATCAACTTAAGTGCCCATCAATGGGCACTTATTGCACACACACAAACACACACATACACATACCATAAAATACACACACACATATATATTTATATATATACATACACAAACACATACACATACCATGGAATACTACTTAGCCATAAAAACTGAAATTGTGTCTTTTGTAACATTGGTGGGACTGGAGGCCATTATCTTAAGTGAAAAAATTCAGAAACAGAAAGTCAAATACCACATGTTCTCACTTATAAATGGGAGCTAGACAAGGACATATAGATTGATAATAGACATTGGAGACTCAGAAGGGTAGGAAGGTGGGAAGGAGGTGAGGGATGAGAAATTACCCAATGGGTGCAATGTACACTACTAAAATAATGCTTACACTAAAAGCACTGACCTCACCACTATGCAGTATATCCATGTATCAAAACTGCATGATACAGTACCCCCAAATCTATAAAAATAAAAAAACTTAACTCTATTGCATATGGGTGTGTGTATACATATATATATCTATGTATACATAAAACATAGCTTAATTCATCTCCTTTTAAAACATCTTTCCTAATATAAATAATTTTCTGATGAAGATCCTTACTTGTAGATCTTTGTGTTCATCTCTGATTCCTTCCTTGGGATAAAACCTTAGAAGCAGAATTATTGGGTGAAGTCTTTGAACATTCAAGTCATTTGATATATACTGCCAAATTACCCTCTTGAAAAGTTGTACAAATTTACTCACGACTAGAAGTACATGTGGGCAATTGTCATGCTTTCGTATTTCTATATTAGTTTGTACACTAGAGATGCTAATTATGGTGCCTGCATATGCCTAGAGTCCCTTATAAGGGAAGCTTCTCAGCCACAGTTCATATTGAAGAGGTACGATATGCAGTGATGTTTCTTTAATAACCCATCCCTTCCCTAGGGATGGCTCACAGAAGGGCAGGCAACCCATAGGCTTAGCAGCACCCTATGGTAATTACTGGCACCTAGAGGCTCAGCCCTAACAGTGGTGGTTACTACTCACTGGACTATTAATTTTAGAAATATTAAATGGAAACATGAAACCTGTTATTTACCAACGAGAGTTAAAGTTTAAATGAAAGTACCAGTGACATCATGATGGGTCACAGCAAGTCAAAGTCATAAGGAACCAAAAACGATGAATAGCATAAATAAGTTAAAACTATCATCAAGAAAAGCAGAAGCTGTGAGGTGGAGAGAAGAGATTCCAGGTGGTAGATAAGGAAGTCAGTTTTACTCAGGAAGTTGGGATTGAAACAGAGAGGGAAAGAGTCGCTAGTACTCATTAATGACAGAACAGTATGGTGATGAGCCTTAATTTCATGCCCCTAAAGCCCCTGGGACTGCCTTGGACAAGCTCCTGTTCTCCTGGGGCCTGGCCAAGCCCAGCTCCTGTTCTTTGTTGTTACACCTACAACCCCAAGGACATTTTAATATAACTCCCCGATTCCCACTGGTCTGAGTTTATCTTAGAACCAGAAGCGCCTAAAATAACATGAATGATTCATGAGCATCCCTGAATCTACTGGAGACTCTTAGGTTGTTTACTTTTATCTTTATTGTTTGTCACTGTAAATGAGGCCAGGATGAACATCTTTGTACATTAAATCGTGTGTGTATAGCATCCTTCCCTTAATCAAGATGACCACAGCAAGAAATTTCACATCAAAGGGCACAAACACTGAGTTTCTATTATTATTAAAAAACAAGAGCTAATGGGAGACAGGGAGAGGGCAGGCCATATCAGTCTCTAAGGCCTCATGAATTTCTAAAAGACTTGTGTTCTCTGGTTGTCTTCCAGATGTGTGCAGATCTTAGGCATACCAATGCAGTCTTCAACTGAGCCAAGAAAGAGAAGGGACCCTATTATAGACACAAGCATTATTCTGGACCTTGCTTGCAATATTATTTCCCTATTCCCACCCACAAGCTACATTGTTGTATCATTTTTTTTTCCAAGATGGAGTTTCGCTCTTGTTGCCCAGGCTGGAGGGCAGTGGCGTGATCTTGGCTCACTGCAACCTCCGCCTCCTGGGTTCCAGCGATTCTGCTGTCTCAGCTTGCCAAGTGGCTGGGATTACAGGCACCTGCCACCATGTCTGGCCAATTTTTAAAATATTTTTAGTACAAACAGGGTTTCACCATGTTGGCCAGGGTGATTTCGAACTCCTGACCTCAAGTGATCCTCCTGCCTTGGCCTCCCAAAGTGCTAGGATTACAGGCGTGAGCCACCGTGCCTGGCCCATTGTTCCATCATTCAACAGCTTCTAAAATTTCACCAATTAAATAACTTCCCTGATTGGAATGGGAGAAAGTGAGCAGAAGACTTTACTGTATGTACATGTATATTTATATGTATACCAATGTCTATGTCTACGTGAATGTCTCCATCTCCAACTAGCCCATATCAATGAGTATATGTGTAACTGAAGAAGTAGGTGTTTTAGAATTTTTAAAGGGAGAGAGAGAGAGGGAAAGAGTGAGTGAGAGTGAGAGAGAGAGAGACAAGGAGGTCAACAGCGCCCAGGCCTGTTTTTTGCTTGACATCTTGATGATCATGCATCGAGGTCTGCTCTAAATTATAATTTTTAATCTCAGTGATGTTTCTCAGCTCTGAAAAGCATCAGAGGAGTTTCGATTTGTGCCATGGCTATGAAAAAACTGTCTCTGGAGAGTTGTCCACCTGTTAGTCCCAGTATTTATATATAAGGTATTCCTCTTGTTCTGAGATTCTAACAATGCTATACTTTATAAATCATGTTCCTCTTTCAAAGATCAAAAAATTAGAAATTCTCCTACCATACTTGCTTTTTATATTTTGACTTTTAATAATCTTCTCTAATATTGTTATTTGATTTCAAATTGAACACAGAATCAATTCGATTAAGCACAAGAAGTGTCTGATGAAAGATTAGGATTCACTGCTTTGGAACCACTCAATAATTTTCATCTTTGCCACAAATATGTTAAGTTTAGGAGGCCAATAACTAAATTTCCCACTTTCCACCAGCTTTAAGACAGAATGGGGTTCAAGTACAATGAAGTGGCCCCATGTGAAGCCTAAGGATAGCAACACTGCAGAAACTGAACTGGCAGAAGCACAGCACAGAACATCTCAGAGTGTTTGCTCACCAGCTGATGCTCAGCAATTCAAAACTCTGAGCCCAAGGATCCGTTTAGAGTGTTGATGTGTGTGTGTGTGTGTGTGTATTGAATGAAGTCAGAACACACTAGTCAGGGACAGAGAGCCACCTGATAAACTGATAACTGTGTCCAGGGTAGATTTGGGCTAAGCTTTTTGTAGTTATAAAAAAAACTAAGAGAGTCAGAAAATTATATAATATTTACTTATCTTTACTTTTCCCAAACCATATAGTTTTTTAGATAAGAAAAGTTCCTCTAGTAATACTCCATGTTTAAAGAAACACAAGCCCTAAGTGCAAATTAAATGCGCTTGTCACCCTGCTTAACTCTTCTAAAGGTCACTTAATAAATCATTGGCTATTCAGCACTCTCACTCACGGACAGCATCTACCCTGGGACATTTTCACACTCTTGCCCCTTCTGTTAATTTCTCAGAGAAAAGCTACTAATGATCTCCACACTAACCCTCTGAGAATTACCTGTCTTACTGCCTCCATACGGAGCCCTGCCTTGGTCCCCCAAGCCAAGGTCCAGTCCCAGTACACCCTTTCCCTGTTAAATGGCTCTCGTGGTTTCTGGAAAACAAAGGCACACATGTCTCTGTTGTTGCAACTAGCACCTGCCTCAGTTACTTCCTTGTGTGGGAACTTGCAAAGGCCATGCATTAGCTTTTATAAAGCATAGACTTTTCCTTCGTGTACTTCTGAGAATCACCAAGGAAAACAATTTCCCCTTTAAATAGGGTAATTTGGATCCCTTCAGGATCCACCTCAGGTGGTGTGGGCAGAGGGTCGCTGAAACTGCTCAAGAATTGTTCAACAATAGCCAAAGTGGGTCCGGTCAAATGGGTCTGCTACTAGCCTCCAAGCAGGGCTTCATGTCCCAGGCTGTTGTCTTGCACAGGTTTCTTTATGTTGCTACAGTGTTTGCACTTCACTGTAAGCCCCTAAGAGGAAAGGGTTCTGCTTAGCAGAGAATCCTGAGACATTCTTTGTGAAAGCTCTATGTGATACAGAAAGAATTCTCTTCTCTCTGTGTCATCGAGGGAAAGAGGCAAACTGTTGGTGAATGCCAATCATCACAAAAAAAGAAGGACTTCATTTGTAATGGTGAATGAAGGCGGACAAGATTCTGGCAAGAGGGAGTTCTCTGGAATATGTTGGTTATCAGATCCCTTGCTTCTTAAAAACACTATCCACGTCAGCCTCCCTGGTAGAAAATGGTGTGGCACGTTCTGTGGATTAGACCATTCAGCAGCCAGCCCCTCCTCCTCATGGACTGCTCTGCGCCGCAGCACTGGAAGGCTAAAATCTATGCCTCACATTCCCTGCTGCCAGGATTGGGAGGCGAATTAAGTCTTCCCAGTTAGATGCTGTATTATTTATCTATTGCTGAGTAACAAATTGCTCCAGAAGTCAGCAGCTCACTATAGTAAACATTTCTTCTCTCCCCTGGTTCTGTGGGTCAGCAGTCTGGGAGCAGCTTAACTGGGTGGTTCTGGCCCAGGGCCTCTCACGAGGCTGTAGTCAGCTGTCAGCTGGAGAAGCTGCCTCCACGCTTACTCACACGGTTGTTGGCAGGAGGCCTCAGTTCCTCACCACGTGGGCTTCTCCCCAGGGCCGCCTGAGTGTCCTCAAGACAAGGCAACCGGTTTCCCCCAGAACAAAAGACCTGGGAGAGAAACAGACTATGAGTCCCTTACTGAGATAGAAGTCACAGTGTCTTCTGAAACCCAGTCTTATAAGTGGCACACCCTCACTTCTGCTGTATTCTGTTGCTCACACAGACCATCCCTGGTACCATGTGGGAGGAGGCTACACAAGGGCGTGGACACCTGAAGGCAGGGACCGCTGGGGCCATCACAGACGGGCCTGTGAAGCATGTCCAGACTTGTCTTCATGGATCTGAAAGGCATTCTTGTGGCTGTGGTGACCAGCTCAGCTCTGTCTGGTCCTCGGCTTCCTAGTGGTGGGATCACTCGCTTCCCGATCTCTGCATCTCAGCTGTGGCTTCTTACTCTTGAGCTCAGCAGTTCCAAGGCCATCTCCTGGAGTCCTTCCTCCAGCCCTTCCAATGCATTACATTTTCTTTCCTTAAAAATAGCTGAAGTGGTTTCCTATTCCTGGAACTGGACCATGGCTGATACAGGCGGGTATCAGCCTGCCAAGGAATAACAGCAAACATTACCATGCAATATGTAAGTATGTTACATTCATTCATCAGATTTTACAGATGTGGAAACTGAGATGCTGGGAAATTAAGTGAACAGCCCAGGCTCACACAGGCAATGAAAACTACAGCTGGATTTCAGAGCCCACACTCTTAATGCTGCCACATTGGGGCCACTCAGAAGGTTGCATCTTATGTGGCTTTCCCTTATAAGGGAAAAGGGCTAAAAGGACTTTGGTGTCCGTTCAAAAGGCTGATGAGATCTTGGGTTTCTTCATAAAATCATTTTTTATTTTTATGAGACATCTGGCAGGTAATAATTTATTGTCAGGAATCTCAAACCCCAGGCAAAATACTGCACCAGGGTAACAGCCAAGGCCAGTAGGTGAAGGCCAGCAAGGCCAACCTCTCATTTCTCCTACTGACATCTGAGTAGGTGTCCCAACATCAGGGAACACATTTTAAATATTTTTTGAAAAATTTTACCCAAGACCCAATTTTGTTCAGACTTTACATTGACACAAATTACCCTTACTCTGCATTAAATATTACTATCATTTCTATAGAGTCATAGCAATCAAGTTCCAGTGAAACCCACTTGCTACCATAAAGACACATGCATGCATGTGTTCATCACAGGACTGTCCACAGTAGCAGAGACAAGAAATCAACCTAGATGCCCATCAGCAGAGGACTAGATAAAGAAAATGCGGTACACTGGCACCATGGAATAGTATCCAGCCACGAAAAAGCATGCAATCATATCCTTTGAAGCAAGATGGATGGAGCTGGAGGGCATGATTTTAAGGAAACTAATGCAGGGACAGAAAACCAAATACAACATGCTATCACTTACAAGTGGGAGCTAAACATTGAGAACGCATGGACATAAAGAAGGGAACAACAGACTCTGGAGCCTACTTGAGGGTGAAGAGTGGGAGGAGAATGAGGATAGAAAAACTACCTATCCGGTATTCCTATTGGGTATTATGCTGATTACCTGGGAGACAAAACCCCTGCAACATGCAGTTTACCCATGTAACAAACCTGCATGTGTATTCTTGAACCTAAAATAAAAGTTAGAAAGAAAAATATCCCACTTTCTTATGTATCTCCTATTATGGGAATCACAGGGCCTCTGGGTAATTCCTGAAATACAGGGCTTTACGTACGAATTTACACTCAACAAGTTTTTCTTGAGCATATACTATGCTCTGCACACTCAGCATAACAACCAGGGGTAAGGAAAGTCTCTGACACAACCCAAAGCAGGCCATAGGCTTTAAGTGCAGTGGCATTAGGACTTGGAGGTATGGGCAGATTGACCACTCGAAGAGCTCAGCTGTCACATCAAGGCTGAGGGCTGAAGGTCACTTCTCATGAATGGAATACTGGATGTATCATAGGGGAGAACACTGGATGCATTCCAGGAAACATTAATAGAAAAAAGAAGTCCTAACAGTGGCTTTTTTGTATAAGCAAAATCGAGTAGGTAATTAAGGCAGAAAAGAACTTGAAGATGATAACTATGATAATCAAACTGACCACTTGTTGAGCACTTGCTGCATACCAGGAATAAGTGGATTGCGGACATTCTCGAATCGAATACTCACTTCATGAAATGGGTTCTATTAGTATCCTCATCCTAAATATGGAGAAACAGAGGCTGAGCAGCTTAAGGTAGTACAGCTGATTGTTCAGGAAGCCAGAAACGAAATTTGGGTTGGTCAAACCCTAAAACCTATGTGCTTAATCCCCAAATACTGGGCTGGTTGGCCCAGATCACCCAAGAAAATTGTTCACACCAATTGATGCCATCCCTGTGTTTGTCTTGACCTCAACTGATAAATGCACCTGCTGTTATGCCCAGCCCCAGCCTCTGCTTTGAAGAGGTTGAGAAAACTGTGATTTCTTTTAGTACCGCACAGTAAACACTAGGTAGGAAAAGGATATGTTGGTAATTTTTCTTTAACCACTTAGCTCTTGCCATCATGTTGTAGTTTAATTAAGCTGGCCTCCTGCAGAATTGTTCAGCTGAGACCATTGGTGGGGACACAAATTGATCTTTTTGGTCTTGGGTTTTTCTGAGTTAATCTTATTCATGTCCATCCACAAGATGCTGTTTCCATTTGTATAGCTGAACTAAAAAAGAATAACTCCCTGCTCTATTCAGTGAGCAGTACAGAGATGCATGTGAATCTTCGAGGCAGATTCCTGGGTCTCATGCCAGTACTACTAAATCAAAATCTTTGGGAGAGTGGCCCAGTGATCTGCATTTAAGCAAGCATGTCCGCTGAGTCCCATGCCGCACAGTGAAACCCTGGGATAGGGTCAAAATGCCTCATCATACTTTAATCAGCTGAGGTCACTTGGAAGCACAGTCCTAGGTTCAAATCCTGCCTGTGCCACTTACAACCTTACGTAAGTCACGTACCCTCTCTTAGCTGCTATTTTCTTATCTATAGAATGGAATTAACAATACTATCTCCCTCAGGATAAAATTATTATAGATTAAATGAGAAATTACTTCTAAAGCATTTAGCACAATTCCCAACTAACAAATTGTTGTTGCTGCTGCTGTTTTGTTATTGGAGCACTTCCATGATTCCTGATACAGCTAGTCCATATTCTTAGTCCTTAATACTTTGTCATAATACATGCTATAGTAGAACATCTTGAAGTTGTGTGTGTGTGTTCAGTGTGTTTTTATGACACAACAGTAAAACATCTAGGGATTCTAAAGAACCAAAAGCTGGGCCTTCATTCATTAAATCAAAAATTGTTCACCAATATATGTCACACTATGCTGTATTGTGAGCATAGCAAGATGAATATGACACACAGTATTGGAGCTTAGAAGAGGAGACACACCTACACATCCTGCTTTAATATTACTTGACAGGAAATAACAATTTAGGCCTGTTTCTAGTGAAAATTTTTATATTTATTAACATAAAAACGTGTCATAAAGGTTTAACACTTGGAGGCTGTGACACGGAGCACTTACTATGTACAATTCTTATCACACCTTTATGTTGGTTCCAGTTCTGACAGTCACAACATATGGGACATAAGGGGACAGAAGTGACTTTCAGAGAGTTGAGAAGAGTCAAAGGCCATCACTGACCTGGTACATGGGTCCCACAGGGATCAGTTTGTTTTCCTTGAAATTATGCCTTTATCCAGGTCATTTTCACTGCCTGGAATGTCTCTTTCTCTTTTTCTTCTCTCATCCACATGTTAAAAATTATTCAGACCCTGCTTCCTCCATGGATCCTCCCCGACTACCTTCGACCATCATGGGCCTCCCTCTCCTTGGAACTCCCTTTCTGTTATATATCCACCAAATATTCATGAGATGCATTATTCATGAAATGCCTCCTTGTCCCAATCTGTCATGTATCCATCAAATATTCATGAACTGCCTTATTGGGAGCGCATACGGTGGAATGCCTGGGGATGAGGTCAGAGAGAATCCCAGGAGCAGATGGCGTGTGGCCTTGCAGCCCCAGTAAGGACTTTGGATTCTCCTTGGAGTGATAAGAAAAGCCATTGGAGTTTTCAGCAGGAACCTGTGATGTTGTGATTTATGTTTAAAGAAGATTCCTCTGGTTTCTCTGTGGACTATAGACTTTAGTGGTCAAGAGTAGATGCAGGGGGATCAATTAGGAGGTCTGGCAGTACTCCTAGTGAAAGAAAATAGTAGCTTGGACTATGGTCTTAGTGTCCGAGGCCTTGAGAAGTCACTGGATTTGGGATATATTCCAAAGGAGGAGCGAATATGATTGATTTGATGATATTAGATACAGGATATCAAATAAATAAAGATAATGTGACTCCTTAATGGAGCTTCTGTTCCTGAGTAGAAACTGGTATGAGATTACTATTGTTGCTGTAACAAATTGTCACAAACATAATGGCTTAAAACAATACATATTTATTATCTTATAGTTCTGAAGGCCAGAAGACCAAAATTAGTCTCACTGGGCAAAAGTCAAGGTATATATGCTGTGCTAGTTTCTTTGGAAGGTTCTAGGAGAGAATCAATTTTCTTCTTTTTCCAGGTCCTAGAAGCCACCTACAGTCCTTGGCACATGGCTTCTTCCTCTATCTTCAAAGTGCATCTTTCCACCTCCTGCTCCAGCCCCTGCTTCCAGCACCACATCACTTTTTAGGTCCCTCTGCTTCCATCGCCATGTCCCTTTCTGTGAGTGTGGCCCTGCTGCCTCCCTCTTATAAAGATTGTTGTGATTACATTGGGCTCACCTAAATAATCTAGGATAATTGCATCATCTCAAGATCTTTCACTTAATCTTCCAAGTCTTTTTGCCCTGTATGACAATGCATTCACAGGTTACAGGAATTAGGAAGTGGGCATCTTTGAGGAGCCATCATTCAACCTACCAAAGAACCTAAAACCTAATAGGAACATAAATAAATAACTTAATTTCCAATAGTGACATTTTGAAAAACATTGAGCAGGGAAATAGAACGGAAGGGGAATGTTGGTGGTGTTGATGGTGGGGAGAAACAAGGGGGTGGCTAATTTTGATAGAAAGGTTGAGAAACTCCCTCAGAATGATATTCAAGCAGAGATCCTATCAATAAGAAGTGTCAAATATCTGGATGAAGAATGTTCCAGGGAAGAACTAGCCAGGGTAAAAGGATCCTGAAGTGGAAACAAACTTCAGGTGTTTGAGACACCCAACAGGTTGGTGTGAGGTAGAGGACAGGAAGTAGACAAGGGTAGCAGTGAAGCTGGAGAGGCTTGCATGGGTCAGATCAGAGAAGGTAAGGGGATTGGAATTTAAGGATAATGCTGGAAGAAAAGCAGTGCTTGGGTTATAATAGGTAATCAATACAAAGTAGTTTATATTTGTAGGTTTTTAGTTCTTCTAAAGAATAATAGAAGCCATCAGAAGAGAGTGATATGACTGATATGATGTGGTTTGCAAATCCCTCTGAGCTGATGGGATATATTAGAGAAAAAAAAATAGGCTGCTGTATCAGTAAGAGTTTAGTAGGGAGACAGAAATGGCACCAATTATTTGGACAGAGTTTAAAGAAGCCTAACAACACACAAAGAAGTCTTTTTTTATTACGCACATTTTCCATTTTTTGGCACTCTTCTTTGTGTAGATCCAAGTTTCCTCTGGGATCACTTTTCTTCACTCTGGAAACTTCCTTTTCTTGGTATGAAATATCCTTTAACTTTTTTTTTTATTATACTTTAAGTTCTGGGATACACGTGCAGAACGTGCAGATTTGTTAGATAAGTATACACGTGCCATGGTGGTTTGCTGCACCCATCAACATTAGACTTTAGGGGTAAAGAGTAGATGCAGGGGGATCAAGTAGGAGATCTTGCAGTAATCCCAGTGAAAGAAAATAGTAGCTTGAACTATGGTCTTAGTGTCTGAGGCTACATTAGGTAGCCTTATCATCTACATTAGGTATTTTTCCTGATACTATCCCTCCCCCTAGTCCCCCACCCCCTGACAGGCCCCAGTGTGTGATGTTCCCCTCCCTGTGTCCATGTGTTCTCATTGTTCAACTCCCACTTATGAGTGAGAACATGTGGTATTTGGTTTTCTGTTCTTGTGTTAGTTTGCTGAAAATGATGCTTTCCAGCTTCATCCATGTCCCTGCAAAGGACATGAACTCATTCGTTTTTATGGCTGCATAGTATTCCATGATGTATATGTGCCACATTTTCTTTATCCAGTCTATCATTGATGAGCATTTGGGTTGGTTCCAAGTCTTTGCTATTGTGAACAGTGCTGCAATAAACATACATGTGCATGTGTCTTTGTAGTAGAATGATTTATAATCCTTTGGATATTACTCAGTAATGGGATTGCTGGATCTAATGGTATTTCTGGTTCTAGATATTTGAGGAATCGCCACACTGTCTTCCACAATGGTTGAACTAATTTACACTCCCACCAACAGTGTAAAAGCATTCCTTTTTCTCCACATCCTCTCCAGCATCTGTTGTTTCCTGACTTTTTAATGATCACCGTTCTAACTGGCATGAGATGGTATCTCACTGTGGTTTTCATTTGCATTTCTCTAAAGACCAGTGATGATGAGCATTTTTTCATATATTTGTTGACCACATAAATATCTTTTTTTTTGAAAAGTGTCTGTTCATATCCTTCACCCACTTTTTGATGGAGTTGTGGATTTTTTTCTTGTAAATTTGTTTAAGTTCTTTTTAGATTCTGGATATTAGCCCTTTCTCAGATGGATAGATTGCAAAATTTTTTTGCAATTACAGATTGCAATTCTGTAGGTTGCCTGTTCATTCTGATGCTAGTTTCTTTTGCTGTGCAGAAGCTCTTTAGTTTTATTAGATCCCATTTGTCAATTTTTGCTTTTGTTGCCATTGCTTTTGGTGTTTTAGTCATGAAGTCTTTGCCCATCCTATGTCCTGAATGGTATTGCCTAGGTTTTCTTCTAGGGTTTTTATGGTTTTGGATCTTACGTTTAAGTCTTTAATCCATCTTGAGTTAATTTTTGTATAAAGTATAAGGAAGAGGTCCAGTTTCAGTTTTCTGCATATGACTAGCCAGTTTTCCCAACACCATTTATTAAATAGGGAATCCTTTCCCCATTGCTAGTTTTTTTCAGATTTGTCAAAGATCAGATGGTTGTAGATGTGTGGTGTTATTTCTGAGGCCTCTGTTCTATTCCATTGGTCTATATATCTGTTTTAGTACCAGTATCATGCGTTTTTGTTACTCTAGCCTTGTAGTATAGTTTGAAGTCAGTAGTGTGATGCCTCCAACTATGATCTTTTTGCTTGGGATTATCTTGGCAATGTGGGCTCTTTTTTGGTTCCATATGAAATTTAAAGTATTTCTTTCTAATTCTGTGAAGAAAGTCAATGGTAGCTTGATGGGGTTGGCATTTAATCTGTAAATTACTTTGGGCAGTATGGCCATTTTCACAATATTCATTCTTCCTATCCATGAGCATGGAATGTTTTTCCATTCGTTTGTGTCCTCTCTTATTTTCTTGAGAAGTGGTTTGTAGTTCTCCTTGAAGAGGTCCTTCACATCCCTTGTAAGTTGTATTCCTAGGTGTTTTATTCTTTTTGTAGCAATCATGAGTGGGAGTTCACTCATGATTTGGCTCTCTGCTTGTCTATTATTGGTGTATAGGAATGCTTGTGATTTTTGCACATTGATTTTGTATCCTGAGACTTTGCTGAAGTTGCTTATCAGCTTAAGGAGATTTTGAGCTGAGACAATGGAGTTTTCTAAATATACAATCGTGTCATCTGTAAACAGAGACAATTTGACTTCCTGTCTTCCTATTTGAATACGCTTTATTTCTTTCTCTTGGCTGATTGCCCTGGCCAGAACTTCCAATACTGTGTTGAACAGGAGTGGTGAGAGAGGGCATCCTTGTCTTGAGCTGGTTTTCAAAGGGAATGCTTCCAGCTTTTGCTCATTCAGTATGATATTGGCTGTGGGTTTGTCATAAATAGCTCTTATTATCTTGGGATACGTCCCATCAATACCTAGTTTATTGAGAGTTTTTAGCATGGAAGCCCTGTTGAATTTTGTCAAAGGCCTTTTCTGCATCTATTGAAATAATCGTGGTTTTTGTCATTGGCTCTGTTTCTGTGATGGATTATGTTTATTGATTTGTGTATATTGAACCAGCCTTGCATCCCAGGGATGAAGCCCACTTGATCATGGTGGATAAGCTTTTTGATGTGCTGTTAGGTTTGGTTTGCCAGTATTTTATTAAGGATTTTTGCATTGGTGTTCATTAGGGATATGGGCCTGAAATTTTCTTTTTTTTGTTGTGTCTCTGCCAGGTTTTGGTATCACAGTGACGCTGGCCTCATAAAATGAGTTATGGAGGAGTCCCTCTTTTTCTATTGTTTGCAATAGTTTCAGAAGGAATGGTACCAGCTCCTCTTTGTACCTCTGGTAGAACTTGGCTGTGAATCCCTCTGGTCCTGGGCCTTTTTTGGTTGGTAGGCTACTAATTACTGCCTGAATTTCAGAACTTTTTATGGGTCTACTCAGGGATTTGGCTTCTTCCTTGTTTAGTCTTGGGAGGGTGTATGTGTCCAGGAATTTATACATTTCTTCTAGATTTTCTACTTTATTTACATAGAGGTGTTTATAGTATTCTATGATGGTAGTTTGTGTATCTGTGGGATCAGTGTTGATAACCTCTTTATCATTTTTATTGTGTCTATTTGGTTCTTCTCTCTTTTCTTCTTTATTATTCTGGCTAGCAGTCTGTCTATTTTGTTGATCTTTTCAAAAAACCAGCTCCTGGATTTATTGATTTTCTGAAGAGTTTTTCATGTCTCTGTCACCTTCAGTTCTCCTCTGATCTTAGTTATTTCCTGTCTTCTGCTAGCTTTTGAATTTGTTTGCTCTTGCTTCTCTAGTTCTTTTAATTGTGATGTTAGGATGTTGATTTTAGATCTTTCCTGCTTTCTCCTGTGGGCATTTAATGCTATAAATTTCCCTCTAAACACTGCTTTAGCTGTGTCACAGAGATTCTGGTACATTGTGTCTTTGTTCTCATTGGTTTCAAAGAACTTATTTATTTCTGCCTTAATTTTGTTATGTACCCAGTAGTCATTCAGGGGCAGGCTGCTCAGTTTCCATGTAGTTGTGTGGTTTTGAGTGAGTTTCTTGATTTTGAGTTCTAATTTGATTGCATTATGGTCTGAGAGACTGTTTGTTATGATTTCCATTCTTTTATATTTGCTGAGGAGTGTTTTACTTCCAATTATGTGGTCAATTTTAGAATAAGTGTGATGTGGCACTGAGAACAATGTACATTCTGTTGATTTGGGGTGGAGAGTTCTGTAGATGTCTATTAGGTTGGCTTGGTCCAGAGCTGAGTTAAAGTGCTGAATATCCTTGTTAATTTTCTGTCTCGTTGATCTGTCTAATGTTGACAGTGGGGTGTTAAAGTCTCCCACTATTATTGTGTGGGAGTCTAAGTCTCTTTGTAGGTCTCTAAGAACTTGTTTTATGAATCTGTGTGCTCCTGTATTGGGTGCATATATATTTAGGATGGTTAGCTCTTCTTGTTGCATTGATCCCTTTACCATTATGTAATGCCCTTCTTTGTCTTTTCTGATCTTTGTTGGTTTAAAGTCTGTTTTATCAGAGACTAGGATTGCAACCCCTGCTTTTTTTGCTTTTCATTTGCTTGGTAAATCTTCCTCCATCCCTTTATTTTGAGCCTATGTATGTCTTTGCAAGTGAGATGGGTCTCTTGAATATAGCACACTGATGGGTCTTGACTCTTTATCCAATTTGCCAGTCTGTGTCTTTTAATTGGGGCATTTTGCCCATTTACATTTAAGGTTAATATTGTTATGTGTCAATTTGTTCCTGTCATTATGATGTTAGCTGGTTATTTTTCCCGTTAGTTTATGCAGTTTCTTTGTTGCATCCATGGTCTTTACAATTTGGCATGTTTTTGCAGTGGCTGGTACTGGTTTTTCCTTTCTATGTTTAGTGCTTCATTCAGGAGCCCTTGTAAGGCAGGCCTGGTTATGACAAAATCTCTCAGCATTTGCTTGTCTGTAAAGAATTTTATTTCTCCTTCGCTTATGAAGCTTAGTTTGGCTGGATATGAAATTCTGGGTTGAAAATTCTTTTCTTCAAAAATGTTGAATATTGGCCCCCGCTCTCTTCTGGCTTGCAGTTCTTCAGAGAGATCCACTGTTATTCTGATGGGCTTCCCTTTGTGGGTAACCCGACTTTTCTCTCTGGCTGCCCTTAACATTTTTCCCTTCATTTCAACCTTGGTAAATCTGACAATTAAGTGTCTTGGGGTTGCTCTTCTGGAGGAGTATCTTTGTGGTGTTCTCTGTATTTCCTGAATTTGAATGCTGGCCTGTCTTGCTAGGTTGAGGAAGTTCTCCTGGACAATATCTTGAAGAGTGTTTTCCAACTTGGTTCCATTCTCCCCGTCACTTTTAGGTACACCAATCCAACGTAAATTTGGTCTTTTCACACAGTCCCATATTTCTTGGAGGATTTGTTCATTCCTTTTCATTCTTTTTTCTCTAATCTTGTCTTCATGCTTTATTTCATTAAGTTGATCTTCAATCTCTGATACCCTTTCTTCTGCTTGATTGATTCAGTTATTGATACTTATGTATGCTTCATGAAGTTCTTGTGCTGTGTTTATCAGCTCCATCAGGTCATTTATGTTCTTCAAACTGGTTATTCTAGTTAGTGATTCCTCTAACCTTTTTTCAATGTTCTTAGCTTCCTTGCACTGGGTTAGAACGTGCTCCTTTAGCTCCAAGGAGTTTGTTATTATTCTGAAGCCTACTTCTGCCAATTCGTCAAACTCATTGTCTGTCCAGTTTTGTTCCCTTGCTGGCGAGGAGTTGTGATCCTTTGAAGAAGAGACATTCTGGTTTTTGGAATTTTCAGCCTTTCTGCACTGGTTTTTCCTCATCTTCATGGATTTATCTACCTTTGGTCTTTGATATTGGTTACCTTCAGATGGGGTTTCTGTTTGGATGTCCTTTTTGTTGATGTTGATGCTATTCCTTTCTGTTTGTTAGTTTTCCTTCTAACAGTCAGGCCTCTCTGCTGCAGGTCTGCTGGAGTTTGCTGGAGGTCCACTTCAGATCCTGTTTGCCTGGGCATCACCAGTGGAAGCTGCAGAACAGCAAAGATTGCTGCCTGTTCTTTCCTTTGGAAGCTTTGTCCCAGAGGGGCACCTGCCAGATGCCAGCCAGAACTCTCCTGTATGAGGTGTCTATCGGCCCCTATTGGGAGGTGTCTTCCAGTCAGGATACACAGGGGTAAGGGACCCACTTGAAAAGGCAGTCTGTCCCTTAGCAGAACCCGAGCGCTGAGCTGGGAGATCCACTGCTGTCTTCAGAGCCAGCAGGCAGGAAAGTTTGTCTGCTGAAGCTGCTCCCACAGCCACCCCTTCCCCCAGGTGCTCTGTCCCAGGGAGATGGGAGTTTTATCTATAAGCCCCTGACTGGGGCTGCTGCCTTTTTTTCAGAGATGCCCTGCCCAGAGACGAGGAATCTAGAGAGGCAGTCTGCCTACAGCGGCTTTGCCGAGCTGCAGTGGGCTCCACCCAGTTTGAAATTCCTGGTGGCTTTGTTTACAATGTGAGGGGAAAAATGTCTACTCAAGCCTCAGTAATGGTGGACACCCCTCCTCCCACCAAGCTTGAGTGTCCCAGGTCAACTTTAGACTGCTGTGCTGGCAGCGAGAATTTCAAGCCAGTGGATCTTAGCTTGCTGGGCTCCGTGGGGGTGGGACCTGCTGAGCTAGACCACTTGGCTCTCTGGCTTCAGCCCCTTTCCAGGGGAGTGAATTGTTCTTTCTCGTTAGTGTTCCAGGCACCATTGGGGTATGAAAAAAAAAAAAACAACAGCAAATTACAGCTAGCTCAATGTCTGCCCAAATGGCCACCCAGTTTTGTGCTTGAAACCCAGGGCCCTGGTGGTGTAGGCACCCAAGGGAATCTCCTGGTTTGCAGGTTTCGAAGACCATGGGAAAAGCATAGTATCTGGGCCAGAATGCACCATTCCTCAAGGCACTGTCTCTCATGGCTTCCCTTGGCTAGGCGAGGGAGTTCCTTGACCTCTTGTGCTTCTTGGATGAGGTGATGCCCCACCCTGCTTCAGCTCGCCTTCTGTGGGCTGCACCTGCTGTCTAACCAGTCCCAATGAGATGAGCCAGGTACCTTGGCTGGAAATGCAGAAATCACACACCTTCTGTGTTGATCTTGCTGGGAGCTGCAGACTGGAGCTGTTCCTATTCGGCCATCTTGCCAACCCCATCTCCTTTAACATTTTTGTAGCGTAGGTTCTGCTGGTGATAGCCTCTCAGTTTTTTTGTCTATGTTAAAAAAAGTCTTTATTCTCTTTGTATTTTTGAAAAATATTTTCACTAGATTTAGAGTTCTAGTCTGACAGATTTTTCTTTCAGATCTTTGAAGATGCCATTCGTTTGTCTTCTGATTTGTATGATCTCTGACAAAAAGTCTGCTTAATTAATTATCTATTTATTTATTTTAGAGAAGAGGGTCTTGCTATGTAGCCCAGGCTGAAATGCCATTGACTATTCACAGGTGCAATACTACTGCTGATCAGCATGGGATTTTGACCTGCTCATTTCCAACCTGGGCCAGTTCGTTCCTCCTTAGGCAACCTAGTAGTCTCCCATTGCCAGAAGGTCACCATACTGATGCTGAACTTAGTGCAGAAACCTGATGGGCATAGTGCACAACAGCCCAGAACTCCTGGACTCAAGCAATCTCCTGCCTCATATTTGGGACTACATGCCTGCACTACCATGCCTGCCTCTGTTTCAATTTTTATCTTTGTTCCATTGTATATAATGTATCTTTTTTCTTTGGCTGCTTTTAAACTTGTCTCTTTTTCATTGTTTTTCAGCAGTTTGATTGATGGGTTTGGTGTGGTTTTTCACAATTACTTCTTGATTGGGGTTTGTGCTTCTTGGTTCTGTGGATTTATAGTTTTCCTCAAATTTGGGTAAATTTCAGCCGTTCGTTTTTCAGATGTTTGTTCTGACTCTCCTTCTCTCTTTGGGGCTCCAATTATATATGCATTAGACAATGTGATATTTTATGGGTCACTGAGGCTTTGTTCTCTCTCTCTCAGCAGCAATCTCACCCTTCTCTAGCTTTTTCCCCATTTTCTTGCACACAGGTGTTTCTCCTAATAAAATCTTTGCACACTTAATCTCATTTTGGTGTCAGTTTCTTAAGGATCTGGAGTAACATGATTTCTGTTGACTAATTTTTTCTCCTGATATATTGTCTTTCTTTAGAGAGTGTTGGAGATTGTTTTGGCAAGCAGTTAAGTTACTTGCAGGTAAGCTTGATCCTTTCAAGGCTTCTTTTCAAACTTTATTAGGGTATAACTAGAGAAGCCTTTACTTTAGGGATAATTTAGCCCTACTATTAAAGTTTGACATTTCTGGGTAGCTCCTGAATGCCACAGGTATCCAAATAGTTTTCTCCACTTAGACTGATTAGAACTTGAACAATTCCCCATCCAGAAAAAAATTCATTTTTTATAACGACAGCTCCCTGTCACTTGTTCTTTGCCTGGCCTCATGGAGTTTCACCCTATGCATGCCCAGAATAATATGACGCCAAAGACTAAAGGAGACTCTTATGCATATTTGTGGACTTCTTTCTCCATGTGGCTCTTTCCTGTCTGTACTCTGCTCTGCAAATTCCAGTTGCTTCAGGATCTCTAAGCATCTTTCTCTGTCTCCCCAACTCAGTGAGAGCACTGAACTCTGCTTGGGTTCTCTCCCTCTGTGTGCCATGAAGTGAAAATTACTTACAGGCAGAAACCTGGGACACTTAGAGCGTCCCTTGTCTGCTAGTTGTCCAAAAAGTGATTCTCAAACAAATTACTCCTTCATTTAGTGCAAGTCCCAAATGAGAGAATTTAATACATAAAATTCCAAACTAGTTGTTACATTATAGGTAACTGGTAAAATGTATAGAATATAAAAATCAACTTAAAGTGGATTATAGACCTAAACGTAAGAGTTAAAACCGTAAAACTCTTGGAAGAAAACATAGGAGTGAGTTTTCATGATTTGGGGATTAGGCAATGATTTCTTAGATATTACACCAAAAGCATGAACAATGCAAGAAAAAAGTAGATACATTGGACTTTATCAAAATCAGAAATCTTCCCATCAGTGGATGAATCAATAAACCAAACTTGGTATATACATATGATACAGTATTGTTCAGTCTTAGGAATAGAGTTGTGAGAACACATATCACCACATGAGTGAACCTTGAGGACATTATGCCACATGAAGTAATCCAGTCACAAAAGGACAAATACTGTATGATTCTACTCATATGAGGTACTTACTGTAGTTAAATTCATAGAGACAGAAGTAAAATGGTAGTTGCCAGGGACTGGCAAGAGTGGAAATTAAGAAGTTATTTAATGGGTATATAAGTTTAAATTTTGGAAGATGATAAAATTTCTGGAGATGGGTGATTGCACAGCAATGTGAATGTACTTAATGCCGTTGAACTATATGCTTTAAAATAGTTAAAGTGGTAAATTTCATATTGTGTACATTTAGTCACAATTTATAAGTAAGTAAATACATAAATTAAAAATTTTAAAACTTTTGTGTTTCAAACAACACCATAAAGAAAGTGAAAAGATACTCCCTGGAACTGGAGAAAATATTCGCAAATCATATATCTGACAAAAGACTTTTATCAAGAATACAAAAGGAACATCCACAACCCCATCAGAAGATAACCTAATTGAAAAAGGGATAAAAGATTTGAAGAGGTGTTTCTCCAAAGAAGATATATACATGGTCAATAAGCACATGAAAAAGGTGCACGACATCATTAGTTCTTAGAGAAATGCAAATCAAAACCACAGTGGAATACCACTTCAGACCACGAGGATGGCTATCATCAAAAAGATATACAATGCAAGTGCTGGCGAGGATGTGGAAAAATGGAAACCCTCATGCACTGTTGGTGAGGTTGTAAAATGGTGCAGCCACATTGGAAAACAGTTTGAAAGTTCCTTAAAATGTTAGACAGTTATTATGTGACCTACCAATTCTACTCCTGGGATTTCTACTCCAAAGAGAGAAAAACACATGTCTACACAAAAACTCATAAACAAATGTATACTTAATGTATAGCCACATTATATATAGCAGCCCACAAAGGGAAATAAACAAAGGGTCTATCAACTGATGGAAATATAAACAAAATGTGGTATATTCATACAATAGAATAGAATTTGGGCTTAAAATGAAGAAATTATTGATACATGATTGAAAGCATTAAGCAATGAGAAAGAAGCCAGACAAAAAAGACTCCCTGTTATATGGTTCCATTATACAGAGTTTTCGCAATAAGAAATCTATAGAAAGAGAAAGTAGATTAGTGATTGTTTGGGGCTTGGGGAGGAGAAATGAGGAGTAACTGCTAATGAATATGAAGCTTCTTTTTGGGGTGATGAGAATGTTTTAAACTTAGATTATGGTGATGCTTGCACAACTCTAAATATACTAAAAATCACTGAATCATGCACTTAGGTAAATTTTATGATATATAAATTGTGTCTCAACAAAGCTGTGGGGTTTTATTTTTGTTTTTATTTTAGAAAAAAGGGGAGTTCATAAAGGCAGAGATTTTGGTCTGTCTGATGTATCCTCGGTGCTCAGAATAGTGCCTGTCAGAGTCATGCTGGGTGGAGTGACTGCTGTTTAGAACAGGGTCTGTGTAAAAATTTAAAAAATTTTGTGTTTCCTGAAACCCCTACTATGGGTTTATAAAATATAATATTAATGTTTGTTTACAAAACTGAAGGGGAAAGTGGATTTAGAGAAGCCCAAGCTCATTCAGCCTGAAGTCAGGGAAGCTGGTGCCCAAGTCAGAATACCCAGTTTTCTTATTTCCAGGATTTTGTTGTTTAATTAGTGCCATATAATGTGACGGACAGGTCCTTGATTTCTGCCATCTCACTGACTTCAAATCTGGGCTCAACCTCCCTTTAACTGGTGATCTTGGCCAATTCACTTAGTTTCCATGCCTTAGTTTCCTCATCAGCAAAATGAATTAATAAAAAGGTGTTTTCCTCATCAAGTTGTGAGGATTGGATAGGATAATAAGATAGGACTTATCCTTGGTACATCATAAATGCTTGATAAATAATAGTCATTATCTTAATACAAAAAATAACCAAAAGAAACGGCAATTTGCATTCTCTCTGCCTGCTGCACAAGACACTGGAATAGGAGCTTTTCTTCCATACACGCTCTGAGGCAGTTATTTTAACTACTATTTTTTCCAGGTAACTGAGTCTCAGACATGCTATTTGAAAGTCAGCCAAGGTCACGTGAGTAGTAACTACTCTTCAGTGTGATAATAAATCAGCTAGGAGAGCCCTGCCATCTTACCAGCATTTAAGCTTTCAGCCGCTAGAATCCCCTTATCTCTCAGTAGCTGTTTTGTGCTCAATCTGACTTATTGGTTTCAACTGCTTTGAAGTTACATATTAAAAAAATAGCACAATGCTTCCTGGGTAACAATTGGTTTAGTCTATATGGCTGCAACCCAATACTCTTTGGATTTAACAAAATAAATGGATGTTTCAACCACGACTTCCTTCAAGATCTGATTTGTTTTTTAAGAAATCCCATTTTGGGACTGACTCCTCTGTCTGATTCTGGAATATCATTATAGTGTGAGGCGGAATGAGCTCTTGCTTATAACTAAGGTTGTACGCCTCCACGTGAGCAGAATATCTTCCTTTTTATTGTATCTCTCCTCTAACACAGTGCAGGTTTGCACCTTCCATGGCTGTTTAAATTGGCACCAGATTCACTGGTTTCTCTTCAGATCGAATAAATCTTTCGCCTTTTAAATTGGCACAAGAGATTCTTAAGTCAGGCTGATCTTCGACATTTTTAAAGCTTTTATTAACTTTTTTTTTTGCTTTGCTTTTTAATAATAAAACAATTATGTTGGGAAAGTTGTAATTATAAATCTTTAAAGTACGATGTAGCTTGTGTTTCCTCCTGTCCTCTTACATTGTAAATCACATTATGTCCTATTTTTTCTTGGAATTCTGTAATTATTTCTTTACATTTCATATTTCTTTCTTGTATCACATATCACAAACAATGTTTTTCTTGAAAATCAGAAGAAAACTAAAACAGCTTTTCATCAAAGAAAAATCATTATTTATTTAACTTTGGATTTTAATTTTAATTACTTAAAATTGTGATTTTTGTGAGCTAAAATAAAAAAGTACATAGATATAAAATGATCTAAGTACATAATGATTAAAATTAAGGTAATCAGACTACTTCTCAAGCCCCCTTCTGCCTAAAAGAATTAGATAAACAAAAATGTTTTTTAACTTTGTGTTTTACCCAGTTGTCTTTTTCACTAGTGTCTTGAAGTTCTTCTGGGGGCAATGAGATGGCAGCTATACAGCGAGTCTGAAAAGAACATCCACATTCCTAATCCCTAGGAATATGATTATTGGAAAATAGATATAATTATACAAATGAAACAGAACTTCCTTGTTCTCAACAGTGTCTGGTACCTAATAAGCATGTTACAAATGTTAGCTGTGATCATTACCAACACCACCATCACCACCATCACCATTATCACCACCACCACCACCACCACCGCCATTATCATCATCACAGCCACCATCATCATCGCCATCATCGTGATGTTTCCAAAATCTTGGTGCCCTAAATGAGTGTTGCAGCTTTTGGTTAAAAGAGTAGGCCCCCATACTAAAGGTGTTTTATTAATATGTTCAGTCTATTGACTGAGAAGAAAAAATATCTATCAGTAAGAAATAAACCATGCGCACAGTGAAATAGTGTGACCTAAGAACTTAAATTTTTCTCTTTTTAAAATGAAGTGCTTAGATTGATCGAAATGGAAAATCTATGTAAATGAAGATCTGAATCGTACAAATCCTTTGCAAATTTTGCTGACGTTATCTTTATGGACAGGAAGGAAAATGCATGTTAGCTGATACTATAGTTGGTGAATTTGACTCCAGCAGTATGTTTTGAGGTTTTGCCCTGTACAAACTTTTTCTCAATCTTTGAATGAAGAAAGCTTTAATAAAAATAGTTACAAAATGTACAGATAAAATGAAGTCAAGAAGGATAGTCAACATGTTAGATGAGAGAAATTAGATATTAAGGATCAGAAGACTTCAACTCGACTATTGGGATGAAATTAACAAACTAGTGTTTAAAGGAGATAAATATTATATTTTACATTTGAGTCCAAACTTTAAAATGTACAAGCATAAGCACACACAAACAAATACTTTTTGGTTTCAGACTGAGGCACACCAGACTTGATTACAGATTTTGATAAAAAGTAGGTGGAAATTATTCCAGAAAACAGTTTGGAAGTGTCTTTCAAAATTAAACATGCAACTACCATATAACCCAGTAATTGCACATCTGAGCATTTGTCCTAGAAAAATGAAGACTTCTGTTCACACAGACACCCACACACAAATTTTTATGGCAGTTCTATTACTCAAAGCCGAAAACTGGAAACAAGCTGTCATTCAATAGGTGAATGGTTAAACAAACTGTGCTATATCCATTAGGTGGATTACTACTCAGCAATAAAAAGAAATAAAACTATTGATACACGTAACTTGAATGAATCTCTAGAGAATTATGCTGAGAGAAAAAAGTCAATCACAAAGGTTACCATGATGTGTTTCCATTTATACAACATTCTTGAAATTATAAAATTATGGAAATGGAGAACAGATTTGTGGGGGGAAGGTATGGGTGGGAAGGAAATGGGTATAGCTATAAAAGAGCAGCATGAGTGTCTTAGTCCATTTTCTGCTGTTATAACAGAATACCACAGACTGAGTAATTTAGAAAGAAAAAAAATTGATTCATAGCTCTACAGGCTGGGAAGTCCAAGAGCATGGTACCAGCATCTGGCAAGGGTCATCTCATAACAGAAAGTGTAAGATGAAAGTAAGCACGTGAGAAAGAGAAGATATTGGGCCAAGCTCATTCTTTTTATCACAAATCCACTCCCATGGTAATTAATGCACTCCAGCAAAAACAACATTCATCCATACACGAGGGCAGAGCCCTAGTGGCCTAATTACCTCTTAAAGGTCTGACTTCTTAATATTGTTACATTATCAATTAAATTTCAAACCATAGCAATAAGGGATCCTTGTGAAGAAAATATCTTGTTTCTTGACTCTATCAATGCCAATATCCTAACTGTGATGTTATACTATAGTTTTGCAAGATAAGCCACTGGGGAAAATTAGATAATGGCTGCACAGGATCTCTCTGTATTATTTCCTACTGCATGCAAATCTATAATTATCTCACAATATAAAGTTGAATTCACACACACACACACACACACAAAAATAGATGGAGTTCTTAGTCATACAGACTTGAGCTACTTTAATTGGACAAGTCAAGAGAAGATATGATCATTCTCTATTCTTTACTGGTCAGACTATATCTAAATATCATGTTTAGTTCTGAGACTCACATTTTCAGAAAGACATTGAGAAGTGGAGTAACTCTAGAAAAGGCTTGCCACCAAATTAAAAGGCCTGAAAATTATATAAAATGAAGAAGAGTTGAAGAAGTTGTGAATATTTAGCCTGGAGAAGAAATAACTTAGGAAGCACACAAGAATTGGTTACAAAAATCTGAAGAATTGTCACCCTGATTGTTTCCCTCCAGCGGGTAGAAGAAATAACGTATGGAAGTTGTCCTAAAATAAAAATAAAAAAAAGGCTTCATACAAGACTGATGGAATAAGACATAGGTTCCTGTAACTGGAAAGAAGGACCATCCCTTCAGAATGAATAATCATTTTGGTTTCTATATTGGTCCTTCATAAGTTTGGCTAATGTTAGGCTTCTTGATCCCATTCAACTCCAATACAGTTACCTGATTAAAATTATGGATCTGTTGAGTTGGGAGTCAGTTCTTGAACCATGGAGAGCTTACAATTTCATTGACACCTTATGAACCCTGTCTTGGTGATGAGGAAATGACACTGCCAACTTTATATCATTTGTCAAATATTATCCAGGCCCTACTAGCTGGTTCTCCCAGGACTAGAAAGTTTCGTTAAATTGGCCTACATTTTAAATCCAATAACATTATATTATCAGTAGTTTTATTTCTACTGTGTCTCAGTCTGTTCAGGCTGCTTTAACAAAATGCCATAAACTGGGTAGCTTTTTCATAATGGAAATTTATTTCTCATGGTTCTGGAGGCTAGGAAGTTCAAGATCAAGGCAGATTCAGTGTTTGGTGAGGGCTCACTTCCTGGCCACAGACAGCCTTCTAGCTGTGTCCCCTATGTAGTGGAAGAGGTGAGGAGTCTCTCTCAGGCCTCTTATAAGGGCACTAACGCCATTCACGAGGGCTCCAGCCTCATGACTAATCATCTCCCAAGGGCCACACCTCCTAAAACCATCACTTTGGTGATTAGGCTTTCATATACAAATTTTGGGGGAATTCAAACATTCAGATCATAGGATACTATATTTAGAGTCTAACAATTTAAATTAATGTTAGAATTTTTCTTTGATACTTTATATAGAAGCAGATTTTGAAACTGTCATCTTTAATCTTAATGTTTTGGGAAAATTACAGATGCTGAATATGACTATTGGTAGTGAAGTTCATAAACAGGATACTATTAATTAATAATCAGTGGATTTAGAAAATCAAAGAATCTGTCTTGTGGGGGTCACTCAGAAGTTTTCTTGAAAAATGTAGAATTAAAACACAAGGAAAGGGGTTGTTGGGGAGGGATTTTTTGGGGGGTGAGGTAGGGAAGGGAATTTCTTTCACTCAAGCCATGCCAAACTCTGAGGGGCTTTCTTAATAAAGAAAACCACTTTTGTAGTCATGATATTCCATACTGAAAGATTCAGTCGTCTTCTCTCTGGGCCTTGATGGATAAGCACCATCATATGCATATTCATTCGATTCTTTCTCTTTTAGACTGTATGTAAACAGTCCTTCTTTTGTTAAGACATTCTGTCTTCAGACATATTAATTAAATTGATTAGGTTACAGCTTTTCTTTTCATCAGTTTCATTCTTGGCAGAAGATATCCCTGGTCCTTGAGTCAGATTTCAGTGTGTCCTAGGCCTCCTCAATCACTCATTTTACAGCCATATTTTTGGATATGTTTCTCTTACAGATGGGGGACTCTTATCCATTCCATGTCAGTTTTTACTAGTTTCACTGTAAAACTCATCAGTCTAATTCCCTATGTAGTGACTTCAGCAACCACAGTGTCAAACTCTATAGGCAGTAAGAAAATTTTTAGACAGGCTAAAAGAGAGCTTTCTTTCCTCTTCCTTTCTTTCTTTCCTTTTTCTTTCTTTCTTTCTTTCTTTCTTTCTTTCTTTCTTTCTTTCTTTCTTTCTTTCTTTCTTTCTTTCCTTCTTTCTTTCTTTCTTTCTTTCTTTCTTTCTTTCTTTCTTTCTTTCTTTCTTTCTCTCTCTCTCTCTTTTTTCCTTTCTTTTTCTCCCTCTCTCTCTCTCTCTTTCTTTCTTTTTTTTTTTTTTGACACAGAGTCTTGCTCTGTCGCCCAGGCTAGAGTGCAGTGATGTGATCATTGCTCATTGCAGACTTGGCCTCTCTGGGCTCCAGTCATCCTGCCACCTCAGCCTCCCTAGTAGCTGGGACTACAGGCATGCACTACCATGCCCAGCTACTTTTTGTCTTTTTTGTAGAGATGGGGTTTTGCCATGTTGCCTGGGCTGGTCTTGAACTCCTGGGCTCCAGCAAAATGCCCGCTTTGGCCTCCTGAAGTTCTGGGATTATAGGCAAAAGCCACTGTGCCTGGTCTAAAAGTGAGCATTCTAAAAGGAGATATTGCCAAATTTCTTAAAATATTGGCATTCAACAAACTTAATTGTATTATCTGCTCCTCTCTCCTTTATACACAAAGGATCTAAAGTCCCGCTCAGTAATGTTATTTTTAGACAAGGGATAGCAACATTAGGAGCAAGAAGAAATTCAAGCAAGAAGAAAGCAGCACCACCTCCCTCTTTGTGCCCCGGAGATGGAAGCAGCTGAGAATGCTGGAAAGTCTGGTTTCTGCTCTGCAGTGCATCAGTGTTAACAGGGCTGCATCCATATGGGTAGGAAGACCCTAAGGCCTGGTTTGCCCAGGGTGGCTCCAGTGTATGCCCGTGGTCTTGGAGTAATTATTATTCATGATCCCTTTCACTCTCAAAATTATTCCCAGGTTGGATGATAAGTGATATAGTTGCTTTAATTATGTAGCTTCTTAACTCTAAGAGTGGGTCAGGTCTCCAGACGAGGCAGCAAAGACACCTAATTGAGAGGAGAAATATGCTAGGAAGGAAAGGGAGAGAGGGCATATTAATCCTTCCCCTCAGAGGGCTTGGGCTTGATCTTCCAAAACTCATCCAAGAAATCTGAGTTGTTAGAAACCATATTTAGAATAAACTACCATCAGCAAAGGGAAGGAAGGTAACTTGCATTCCTAAGCAGGGCTTCTGAACAGCTGTATAAGCTACATCTGTCTGTCTGTCCAGCCTCTTCCCATGGATTTGTATTTGAGTTGAATTAGCCAAAAGCTATCCTTTTCCACATAAGACACAAGTGATTTTCAGCTTGTAGGCTCTTGAGAAACAGGAGTTGGTGGAGCTTGGCTCCAAGCAAAACTGCAAAGGAGAAGGCTCAGGCTTCCCTTCTGTTCCCTGTTCTCCACACCGCCCCATGATGGCAAAGACAGTCAGTCAGCTCAGACTATTCTGTTAGGAAGCCTTTCCCTGAGCCTGAGTTAGGTACCCTCCTCTGCCCCCATCACACCTGTGCGCTCTCCCTCTGAGCAGTGATCACACTGTATAGCCATGGCCTCTCTCCTCAGCTGCCTCCCATTGTGGGCTCTGAACCATGTGATGGCAAAGACTGTTTCCTTGTCTGTAAAATGAGGATGAGTAGGCAGATGTTGGACCTACCCTGAAGCATGAACTGACAATTAGACACATAAAGAATTAAGCATATAGTTTCCTTCTTCACCTGAAACAATTTTCTCCATTTTGGTCTGTCAATCAGCCATGCAGGTTCAATGGCTAGAGTTGGCCCCTACATTGAAATGCTAGGACCAATCACTCTCATTGGGAGTTTGGGGTTCCTGTAGGCTCTGTCTTGCATCTTCAGATCAATTTTCAGATTTCCCTCTACTCTGTTTCTAAAAAAAATAAAAGCTTGTAAATGTAACCCACATACTAAGACATTTTTATAAAAGTAAATTTTTATAGTCTAGGGAAGATTTTTTCTGAGTTCTCTTGCCATCTTCACTTGACAAAGGGAACACTTTCCTGCTGACTTTTATAGGCAGTCAAACTTGGCTATTATTTTCCCTGACAGTCTGGTCACTTAGGAGTATTTAGACATTCAGCTGAAGATTCAGATTGGAGAGACCAACATCTCCCATGTAGCATAAAACGCAGCTCTCAGTCTCAACAAATTTCATGTAACAGGCATTTATGGAGTTCCACTACGTGCAAAGGGCTGTGCTAACTCCCACCCAACTGTGACTTTTCCATCAATAGTGACAGATTTAGTTACTGTTGTCTCCTACCCATGCGGCAGCCCTGAAACTGCCTCTGCTGGTTTTGAGGAAGCACCCCAGGACGTTAAGTAGAATATAACAAAGGTAACAGGGTTTTGCAGATATAATTTATGTCCCAAATCCATTGGTTTTGAGTTAATCAAAAGGGCGAGAATGAGATAACCAGGTGAACATCCCTGAAAGAGGGACTGGCCCTCCCTGAGGTGAGAGACTATCCTTGATGAAATAAGTGGCTGTGTCAGAGAAGTCCACGTGGCAAGGAACTTTGGGTGACATCTAGGAACAATGTGTCCTCCAGACCTGAAGGTGTCCTCCAGGCAACAGCCAGCAAAAAGTCCATCATCAGTCATGTGGCTGCAAGGAAATGAGTTCTTCCACCAACCCAAATGATCTTGGAAGTGCATTCTTCCCCAGTCAAGCTCCAGATGAAATGCAGCCCTATGGGCACCTTGATTGCAGCCTTGTAGGATCCTGAGCAGAGGACCCAGCTAAGACGTGCCTCATGAACACTTTAAGATAGTAAATGTGAGTTACTTTAAGCTGCTAAGAGCATGGTAGTTTGTTTCTTAGTCACAGATAAATAACACAAGGACTGTGGCTCTTATTCATCCAGCTTCTGTGGTTAGGTGGCTGGGTCCCTTTCTGGGAACTGTCCTCAACCACAGATAGCTACCTCCCCCAGGGGCCACTTCTCCTCCTTTTCAGTGGCAGCCAGATCACATGACTGGTCAATGATTGGCCAGTGGGAGCAGGAGTAAAGGGACATGAAGGCACAGCTTGCTTGCCTGGGGCAGGGACAGCTCTGAAGGACTATGCCAGAGCTCTCTGTGGAATTAACTGTGGCGTTTTTGTGACTGCACGGCAAGGAGTTCAACTCCTCCCTCTCTAACTGCTTTCTTTACTCCTCTCTGGTGTGGATCCTGAGACCACACAATGACATACTTCCTGTGTGAAAATCTCTACCTCGGAGCTGTTCCTGGAGAAACTGACCTAAAATAATCATAACTGTTTTCTTTTAATACATATGTTATTATCAAGTGATATTCCCTAAAGTCTGCAAGTCTAAATGAAAGGCAATGAAAGAGGAACAGTTGCTGGTGACCTTGTTTTAGTTTGCTTTTGTTTTGTAAATGCAGATTCCCCTATTCTTTTTCAATAATCTTTCACAAAGTCCTTTACATAAATTAGCAGGAAGGCACTGGGATGGTCCCTAGAGATTATTGAAGTCCATTCATTTTATTGTACAGAGTGGGAAATGAAGGCTCAGGGTTGTATGTGTGTCTCTGTGTGTGTGTGACTTGTCCAGATAATTCACTCATTCAACCAGCATATTTTTATCAGGATTGGATCTGGCCTCTGTAGACTCTGCAGAATGTGCTTACAAATGCATGGGGGGTCTCACCACAGCCTTGCAACTTCCTGATGTGACACTACTAGTGCCCAAGCTGGGCTGCTCAGTGAAGCTGTCTGGACTGGTGGCCACTCAGTGCCTCTGCCCTTGGTGCTGCCCCACGTCTATGAGGATCTCCATGTAGCTCCTTTTCCTTCTCTTGGGCTGGGAAGTTGCAGAAACTCGACTTGGACCCATCAAATTGTTCTTTAAGCTCTGGTGTGTTATTGCATAGATGGAAAAACCATGTTCTATTTTTGTATCAGAGTTCTATGTAAGATGCTTTACTCTGATTTAACCATGATGAACTATGACACTCATGCTAGTTACTATGTGCCTGGCACCATTGCACTTACTTTACAAATACCAATTCAGTTAATTCTTACAATGATTCTATTTGGTAGCTGATATTAAAGTTATTAACAGACAAATGTCTATAAGTGTGTTTGACTTGCATCAGCTTTTATTTCAGAAAAAGGCTTGGGCTTGTGAACTAATGCTTGGGGAAGACAAATGATTCTTTTTCAAATTATCTATGAAATGTTGAATTTTCTAATTATTTCTCTCTTTGGAAAATAATCCCTTTTAAGTGTAGATATTATATAAAATACATGCCTATTCTTGACCATTCTGGGACCAATTACCAAGGTTTTAAAATAGCCCAGGCTCATTGCCTCTTTCCCTTCTCCCTCTCCTGCCCACCTTCTGGCGTTCCTCTGTTCATAGACACGTCCCTTGCAAGTGGAAGAGGAGATGAGCAGAAATTCAAACCTGTCAGACATGGTTGGCTGTTACCTGCTCTGCTAAAGACCAGGGGACTAAGAGCTGGAAGCTAATGGGATGCCTTGTCAGGGGCTCTTTCTATACTAGCCTTGTCCCTCCTGCCATCGTGGTCTGGGACCCCCAGACCACTGAGCAACAGGAGAGCCTTGTTTATATGACGATTTTATTCCATGTTGTGAGCTTTTCCTTCAATTTACCACCAAAAGTTGCTGGCAAGACACCAATTTAGTGCAGTTTGAGTAAGCGAACATGTTTGCTGTTTTCCACTGTGTATTTTTAACCTATCCTTGTTTACTGGCCACCTTCTACTATATGGTATCACTTTGTGTTGAATACTAAAAAGGCATAAGTCCCAAACTCTGCCAGAGAGGAATGATTAGACAGAACAAAACAAAACAAAACCACAAGTGGATACAGTAAGGAATAAATGCTTTTATTATAACTTTTTTTGATAAAAAATGCACCGACATCCCTTATTCTCTATTTCACTTAGTCTCTGCAGTGTGTTAGTTTTCTATGACTGCTGTAACAAATTAACCCAGACTTAGCGGCTTAAAACAATACAGATTTATCATTTTACAGTTCTGGAGATCAGATGTCCAAAATGGGCCTCATTGGGCTACAATCAAGGTGTCAGCAGGGCTGCATCCCTTCTGGAAGCTCTAGAAGAGAATCTAGTGTCTTGTGTTTTTGACTCATAGAGGTTGCCCGCATTCCTTGGCTCATGGCCCCCTTCCACCTTCAAAGTCAGGAACAGCTGGTGGAGTCTTTCTCACATCACATCGTTCTGACATTGACTCCCCTGCCTGCCTCTCCCACGTTTAAGGACCCTGTGATGACACCGAGCCCAGTGGAATAATCCAAGATAATCTCCTTATTTAAGGCCAGCTAATTAGCAAACTTAATTCAATCTGCAACCTCAATGCCTTGAAGCATGCCTTGAAGCATTAGGAGGATTTAGAGAGGCTGGGAAGAATGAGGAAGGCATTTCAGGGACAGGAGGGCTGCCGAATAAAGCCACCAGGGCAGAGATGCATTGGAGACTGGTGTTTGTGTTTTCACCTCTTCTGATTCCTAATTCCTTGTTGGTTCCCATGATGTCACTTTCAACCCCACAAACTCAAAATCAAGATAGAAACAGTGATGGAAAGACATTTTCTGGACTCAAGGGAAGAGAATCAGAAATCTGACTTTGGGGAAAAGAGGACCATTGTGTTACATCAATAGAGGCACAGTCTTTTGGTGCCAAGTTTAGGAAATGCTGAATGTTGAAGGGCAGCTCATGACATTTTAGCAGAAAAGGACACATGGGGACACATTCCAAAGAGTTGATACAGAATGCTAGATAACTCAAGAGCTGAAAACAGGAAGACTCAAGAGAAAACAAGGAGCATTTGTTGTTGTTGTCCTAAAATGTTAGACAACCTTCTGAAACAAATCTCTGTAATTTTACCTGGATGTGACATCCAGTACATCAGTCCCTGGACATCCAGTTTTCTCTTTTGAATGATTAATTACCAAGTTGTTATTAGCATTAGCTTTTTTATTGATTGTTCATTAATAAGTATTTTGACAAATGCTTTGCCGTTGGTACAGTCATTAAAAACAAAAAGCCATACAACAATAAAACCATCCCTGATTTTTATAAAGCTGTTAGATTCAGGAGATGAGAAAGAAGAAGGCTTACTGCAAAAATCATAACTTTAGCTGTGCAACTATATTAGAGGAAGTAATGCTAACAGCAGGTACAGACTAACCTCAAAATCTCAGTGATTTAGTGCAACAAAAATTTATTGCTTGCTTTTGTCACAGTTCAGTGCGGTCAGTGGGTTCTGTTCCATGTAGTCATTCAGGGATCCAAGCTCCTTTCATGATGAGGCACAGCCATCTTCAGTGTGTGTCCTCGTAGAGACCCTGACATCAGCTAGCCAGCAAACAAGGGTCAACACAGAGAGAGACTAAAAAGGCACATCCACTCTTAACTGGCTTAGTGTGGCAGGAACATATATCTGCTCACTTTCCATTGGTAAGAATACAAGAATACATCATATGGCTCCATCTAACTCTAAGAGGGCTCAGGACTCTAAGAAACCTTCTCAAGTTTCCGAGTTGTTTTGCAAAAAGTAAACACAATCATGATCTTTTGGCTACAACTCCATCTACAGGGTGAGCAACTTCTTCTCTTCATTAACTCTTCTTGGTGTTTACCTCTAGATTTGTTGGAAGGAGAAAGATGGGGAAAGGAGGGTAGAAGCACCCTCTGGAATGCCCCAGGTAGCTATCAGACACATTTCAAGTGATTCTCACCTCTGTTTTATTCTATATCCTCACTCCCGCCTGGAAAGTTTCATCAAAGGAGTCTGTATTTAACACAGAAAAAAAAACCTTCAAATATGCCAGTTGGTAGTTTTGGCCCCCTTAATTATGTGATGTCAAGGTGCCACAATCTAAAACAGTGTTTTGGGGATTGGCAGCACCCTTGCCCACTGTGTTCCTGCAGAACTAAGCTCTCATGTCACAGATGCTCTCTTTGAAGGTCAAGAGGAGGCTCCCAGTGATAATTATCTGCATGTAAAAGTAACATGGCAAAGCTCCGCCCCCGTCCTTCCTTCTGCCCTTCTTGCATGATCAAAGCCCAGAAGCAGCCTCATGGATCACAGCCATTTTCTCTACTCACACCTTGCCACCCTGTCTTAGGGGCCAGAGAGATAGGAATTGGCACCCTTAGGCTGATTTAAGGAACATTTGTTATTCTCTGATTTCCAGGCTATTTAGCACACAGAAGAATCACTGCCAAATAACAGAGAGGGATGGTTACAACTTGTCGGGCCCTCAAACAGCCTCTCCTCCTTCTCCAGACTCTACCCAGTGTCACCTTAATGAGAATTATGAGGACCATGGTTATTCTGAAGGGAATCTGGGCCACTCTAGGCAGCCGTTTCCTACTGAGCCGAGAGGAGCTAACAAATGAGGCAGGGAAATAAATAGGCTTATGCCCGCTAACTCCCCTGAATGCTGTTCCCATTAAAACACACCCATTGGAGGAGACTTCTCACTTGTAATTGCCACCGATAAATCTATCACACCACACATAGTTTTACTGAAGTCTAACCCGCCAATATAATTAAACAAGGAAAAGGGAGCAAATTTATTCATGGCGATCATTCATCAGGCTCATGTTTAGACTTCTGTTGTCAACTATTACCATCTCTGTTTTACACTGGAAGCTTCTTCTATAGCCATTTTGCTTCACAGACAATATGCTTGCATTTCACAAGCACACATGGGTATCCTACAAGGCACTGCCCTTGAAAAATGTTTTTCAAGTACGTGGGATATAAGTTGGAGTCCTGACTCTGTATACACAATGTGCTACCTGTGTGACTTTGTTCAAATTATTCAACCTCTCTGAGCCTGCTGCCTTCTATAAAGTGAGCATAGTGACACTCACCTGCACTGTTTTGCATAGAATAGATAAGCATAAGAAACAGGACAGAGGAGGTGCCCAATAAACATTGGCCTTTCTATTTTTTTCTTTACCTTCCTGACCTTTCTATCTCTCTCCTTTCTCTCTTCTCAGGAGCATTCGGTAGTTTTATAACCAGGACCCTAATTAATGAGCTTGCTGAGAGCTGGGTGAAAGTTGCCCAAATGGAGAGGTGACGAGTAGGTGTATATTCCGTGTCAAAGCAAATGAAATTGAGCTCATTAGAAGCAAAACACCTTACAAAAGAGCCAAATGCTAAAGGCACTGTAGAAATATAAAAGAAGTCACACTCTGGAGGCAGTTCTCTGGGGTGCCCAAGTTCTAAGGAGCCACTGGAGGAGACATCGGAGCCAGCACTCACCCTTTGGCCTCCATGGTGAGCTCTCCTGGTTTTACTTCTTCCTCCTTCTGCTTCTTTCAGCTCCTTTGACAGCTCATCCTCTTCCACCCAACTTCAAATGTTACAGTTCCTCAGATGCAGCCTTGGGCCCTTTTTATGCCTCATTCCACATTCTCTTCCTAAGCAATCACATCCATGCCCATCGCTTTGGTTACCAGGCATACTCTGGTGACTTTCAAATGGACTTCTTCTGCCCAGATATATGCTCTGGGTTCTAGACCTGTCTATCCTTCTGCCTCCATGTCATCTATTAGATGTCTCAAGGGTACACCAGATAAAATTGGATAAAATAAACCAATGCTATTCATACCTGCAAACCTGGTCCTGCTGCAATGTTTGCTGACTTGGGGAATTGTGCCTGCAGCCAAGAAGTTGCCTGGAAATCATCCTTGTCTCCTCTCTTTCTCTGTCCATCCTCCATCCAGTCGATCACAAATGCAGCCACAAATTCCAATTATAAAGCTGCTAGTCTTTCTCATGAGGCTGTGATGGCCTGTGCCGGCTCTTCCACCATCCAGTTTGGCCCCACCCACTCCATTCTCCAGACTCTAAATGGAGAGATCTTTTAAATATCTCATTGTTGCACTCATTACTCACCCTGTCATATCCACTTCCTGTGGAAAACCTTTCAAAGGACTCTTATTGCTTTCAGGATGAAATTCCACATCCCTAACACCATTTATAAGGATCTACCTATCAGCTAACTTCATCCTTATTGCCTCATCTCTATTTCTGAGGACCAGCCACCCAGCATTTTTAATCTCCTGGACACACTACCATTTCTCCCACCTCAGAGCCACCACGATTGCTCTCCCTCGCTTCAGAATACTTGGCTAGTTTTTGCTCATCCATTAGATCTTATCTTAGATATGACTATGTCTTATTGGTTTTAAAGCATGTTTTCTACATTTTAACATCTCTGAAGTTAGGGTGCGTACGTTGGCATGGACTGTTGGCTGGCAGCTGCTGGGACCTTGTTGTCCCCCTGTGCACACAGCGACAGCATCAGCGTCAAAACTTGCAGGATGGGGTTAGCGGCTTGGCAGTAAGCCCCGGAGACAATGTGGAGCACTCTTTTAACTCCTAGCAAGCAAATGGTTGTAGTATGAGTGGGGGCGGGAGTGGATCCGATCTGTGTGGCAACATTCCCCAAGCAGGAATCAAAAATAGGTTAGCTCTACATAATTGCAAATTTGGCTTAAGAGCAAAGTACCAATAGCTTTTAGTTCTGTTATAGATTCTCTTAAGAAATATCATATCATCAGTGCTCTTAATGGCACAGGGAATGATATTGTGGGGAAAAGCCTAGACATTAACCACGCTGCATTGAAAGTGATTAGGAAGAAATGGATTCTGAACGTAAAGAAATTCTAGGAATTCCTTAAGAACCTATTTTGCTTATATTTCCTCTCTTAACTATGCACAAAATGATATTTAATTAAAAAAGTCAAATTAAAGGTAAAATGAATATCTTAAGTCTTAAGACAGCCTTGTGTCATATTTAATTGGAAACTTTTTTTTTTCTTAGTGGTACATACAATAATGGTGTGTCTCACATTTGGTGACATCTGAGACTTAATGAAAAACAGTCGCTCCTAAGAGCAGGCTTTGCTGACGCCTCAAATCAGGACAGGCCATCTTTTTATAAGCTCTCTCATATTCTGGTAGCTTCTTATATGACTAATAATAGCTGTAATAAATGGTAAATTAGTCATTTCATATCTGCAAGATTGTAAGTTCAATACGAAAAGAGACTGTATCGTTCATGTTCACTTCTTTTCCCAGAAGCTAGAATGCAGGGGTTGCATAAGAGATCTTCGTTTGAATAAATGAATGAGTCTGATCAGGACTATTCTCTCTTTTTTGGGCGGTGGCCCAGAAATCGACAGCTGCACCAAAATGCTTTAGGTCATGGCCCAGGTCACAGAGCTGGGAAAAAGACTGTGTGGGGGAAGAGCGAAGCTGCACAATGAGAGGCCCTTAGCTCCCCGAAAGGCAATTATAACTCCAGCAGGCACAGCGAGCTGGCAGCACCGATCCACTGCACACCTCATGGCAAGATGCCTCGTTGTTCCCTCCTGGCCTCACAGCTCTCGTCTGCTTGTCCCTCTGGGCACATTCACAATTTATCTGAAAAGCACATTGTTCCTGCCCCGGGGATTAAGGCCTCAGAGTGGCAGGAGTCGGTGTGTGAAAATGAAGGTGTGACAACGAAACACACATACACGCCCCATAACAAACCTCTTCCCTTTGAACAGTTAAAAAAGGCTTAAGAAGGCCTGTCAGCCAGTGTTTGTGTGGGTGAGGCTGGAGTTTTGTAAAGGGAGGAAGGAGTTGGACCACACTTGCCTGCACGGTGGCCCTGGGACACACGTCCCTTGGTGGGCTCCTCAGA
The DNA here is from genome assembly GCF_000001405.40 of Homo sapiens. Classification (NCBI taxonomy): domain Eukaryota; kingdom Metazoa; phylum Chordata; class Mammalia; order Primates; family Hominidae; genus Homo; species Homo sapiens. Next base: position 5,938,146 of record NC_000006.12, read on the forward strand.
GCTCCTCGAGGGCCACCCCAGCAGGGGACCCCGGGGGACTCTCCCAGCCTCTTGTCAGTTCTGAAGACACCTGAGAAGGAAGGTTAGCAACGAATTCACAGCCTGAACCGCTGGGAGTCTTCCCTTCATTACGCCCCCAAGCAAACGAGGCAGCGCCTGTCTGCTTTCCACTTCTGTGTCCAAGGGGATGAGCAGTCACTTGCCACAGTACCCTGGGTGTTCTGTTTTGTTCTGTTTCCATCCGAAATGGCAGTCCGTGGAAGGAGTGGGACCATGTGCTCACCAGAGACATCCCAGGCTTCAGCGGAGGAGCCCCTCCGTGGATATTCAAATGAACAGGCTCCAATCCCACACCACCTGCAGAGGGAGCCCTGAGTTCTTCCCAGACTCCACAGGGGTGGGGTTTGGTGGGGTCGGGCGGGCTCTTGCCTTTCTCACCCCATGCCTGCTCCCCATCCTCTTGGGGAGCTCTGCGTGTCACTCACCTCCTGACGTGTGACAGGGCAGTGCCATGTGGTACTGCAAGGACCCAGGTAGCCACAACTCCTCCCTGGATTCCCCACAAACTTCCTATCACATAAAGCGTCTCCCACAGGGTAGGCAGCCGGGAGGAATGTACACCCCCCAAACACAGATAACTGAGAATTGATTGTTGGGCATTTCCTTTGTTGAAATCCTCAGCCAGTTCTGCAAACTCAATTGCTCCTAGATTTTGTTTTGTTTTTAACTTAGAAAAGCTCAGCTGTCTCCAAACCCCATACCCAAGCTGGGCTCTGAGACTCCCTTTACACAACCAGTGCTCCAGGACCTCCCCATCCACCCACCTCCACTAGGAGTTTACCCTTTGATACAATTATGTCCATACCCTTTCCTCACCTTAGAAGGCAAATTCAGGCCAAATTCATTTTAATAATACTTAAGTATTTAAAAAATTGTCATTAATAATGTTTTAATAGTATTAAATATTTTTAAATAATAAATAATTTAAATGTTTAAATGGTATTTTAAATGAAATATTAAATTTAAATAATATTTTTTCTGCTGGTTTTATACTTGTGTAAATCATAATTGTTAGAGCTGGGAAGGACCTTACGGTATTTCTTCACAAGCTCCCCACTTTGCAGATGAAAAACTGAGATGCAGGTGTGTTGAGGCGCTTTGCCTAAGGCCACAGGATCGTAAATGGCTAAGCCAGGATTAGCCACAGGTCAGTTGACTTTCAACTTTTCTATGCCATAAAGCCCAGTTCTCAACCCAAATCACTGACCTGGAGCAGGTCAGTGATGCTGGTGACTGAGAAGGACCCGGGGCAAGCATGTTCACACGCACTGCATGTGTAGTGGGACTGTTTGAAGATCAACTTGCAAGGGTGCAGGATTTGCTGAGCTGCAGCAGGTTTGTGCCACGTGGGAATGCCTGCCTAATGCTGTAAACAGCTTCCTGGTTTTTTGGTTTGTTTTTGTTTGTTTTTTTTCTTTTTTTGAGATAAGGTCTTGCTCTGTCACCCAGACTGGAATGCACTGGCACGATCACAGTTCACTGCAGTCTCAACTTCTTGGGCTCAAGGTATCCTTCCACCTCAGCCTCCCTAGTAGCAGGGACTACAGGTGCATGCCACCATGCCTGGCTAATTTTTTAATTTTTTTTTTTTTTTTTGTAGAGATGGGGTTTTGCCATGTTGCCCAGGCTGGTCTTGAACTCGTGGGCATGAGCGATCCACTTGCCTCAACCTCCCAAAGTGATAGAATTACAGGCCTGTTTTTTTTTTCCCAAGAAAAACTAGAAATACGGATTTTCAAAAAATTGTACAATCTCCTCATTTGCTCAGAATTAAAACAAACACTGTATAGGCCAACTATGACCCATCTGTAAACCAAGTTCTATCCAGGGATGGACAGTGTGAAACTTCTGCTATAAGAAAATCTTACTGGCCAGGCTAGGTGGCTCATGCCTGTAATCCCAGCAATTTGGGAGGCCAAGGTGGGCGGATCACGAGGTTAGGAGTTTGAGACCAGCCTGGCCAACATGGTGAAACGCTGTCTCTACTAAAAGATACAAAAAAGTAGCCGGGTGTGGTGGTGCGCACCCATATTCCCAGCTACTCGGGAGGCTGAGGCAGGAGAATCGCTTGAACCTGGGAGGTGGAGGTTGCAGTGAGCTGAGATCATGCCATTGTATTACAGCCTGGGCGATAGGGCAAGACTCTGTCTCACATAAATAAATAAATAAATAAATAAATAAATAAATAAATAAATAAATAAATAATAAAAATAAAATCTTACTGCAGAATGCTTCCCCAAAGGGTCCCTCTCCTGACTGGTTCTGTGCTTTTCTCCTGAGGTTTCCTACTACTTCCTGCCCCCTCCCAGTGCCCCTCACCATGTTCGAGCCAACTCCTCGTGTTCCTCTCTGTAGCCCCCTAGACCCTTCCTTTTTAAGCCCATAGGAAGGGGCCTTCCCTGTAAGCTGCTGAGCTCCAGCCTAAAGGTGCCAGTGGTCCAGCCTGGCTTAATTTTCCCTCCAACTCGCCTTCACTTTGCTGGCTAGATTGCAAAATGAGTCATTAAATTACATTCCTAAATTCACTGGGGACCAGACTAGAGCCAACCATGGTGAGCAAAATGCCTTGGAATGTTGGAGCTGTCTCAAAGGAATCACAGGGAAATGAATTTTGCCTTATGTAGAATTTAACCAAATGGTAATCAGAAGTAATCAAAATGAAACACATAGCTAAATAACAGCTTTCTTTGAATGCAGAAAGCCATGAATATATCTGGCATGCTTTGCTAAAAATACTGGGAGAGCAGTTCTGAGAAGTAGTCTGTCCCTTGCAGAATTCTTCATGAACTCCTGAAGCTACAGGTGGATTTCACAAGTGTAGCCCACTTCTGAAGTTATGACTGCACCCTCAGCCAGTCCTTTCCTGAACCAGGGGTTGCACACTTTGAAGCTCGCAGGGACTAGAGTTACAAGAATGCAATAGGCCAGGAAGGGTTCTGATGGCCTGAAGATGGGGCAGGTATTACTTGGATCTGGTTGATTATGGACTGCAGGCCCAGTGCTGCCACACCTTCTGGTTTTTCATGAGAAGTTAGACATCTGAATTTTTGTGTGAACTCTGGCTTATTAAAGTTTGGCAACGAATTGAAGTAAAAACAAAACACCTTTCCAACCATAGAAGAGCTCTCTCTCTGAGGGCATGATTCAGCCGTGGGCTGCCAGAGAGCAACCTCTACGTGAAGGAGAGGGCCAAGAAACACTCAAAAGAAGCCAGATAACTTAGGTTGTTGCTTCCAAATGCTTCCAAGGAGTTACTCATCCAGGATTTTAGATTTACACACAGTCACATAAGGACGCACTGTTTGAGGCCTCATTCTCCTAAACCTCCTTCTAAACAGGGATGCCACGTGCCACCTGCATCCTTTTTAAATATGTACCAACCTTGATTGGACATACCTATGAAGAAGGAAACTAACAAGTGTGATTAATGTCCCTGGACCTCATTGTACTTGGTCTCAAACACCTGGAGAAGGCCAACAGCACTCAAATCATTCTTCTTTCTCCTCTACCTCACCGCACTTCATTTGCTCACAACCAGATTCTCTTCAAGGTTGAATTCATTCCTTTGCAGTAGCCATACCTGTCCTGCAACAGAGCTACCCTCTGCCTACATAGGACCCCTGGGTATATTCAGTAAAGGTTGAGGTTACTGTGTTTTGCATTTTGTAATTTGTGTTGTGTTTTGTGGTTGTCATACCGAGGCTCACAAGGAAAAGCTTGTATTTTCTCCTGGATGGGGAGTAGTAGCTATTCCTACTGACAGTCACATGAAAACAAGTTTGGTCCTTATTCAGAAAACCAGAATGGAGAAAACAAGACTCTGGGGGCAGGAAAAAAAAACTGCTTTTCTCTAAACAAAATTTGGTTAACTCAACAGTGTTTACTAAGTGTGTCAGTAAGCACTCAATATGTGTCAGGCAGTTACTGTGTGACACACTGACCATCAGAGTCGAGACTTTGGACTTATCTTTCAGGTGGCTCCTCAGAGAGGGAAGTAGCAATGGCCTTCATAAGAGAGGGAAGGAGGGAAAACTGATTAGGCCTCAAATGGAACATGAGAAAGTAGTAGTTTGTAGGGCATATTTCAGTTTCTTGTGACTATATTTCTTTTCCTAGTCAAAATCTTTAGTAAAATTCCAGCTCTGTCTCAGCCATGCTATTGGGTATTGATGTGAAGGTCGTGTTTTCTCATTTGAGTCAGAGATTTACTTACAAGGGTGAGCAGTGTCCTTCCCAAAGGCCATCATGATGGTGGTTGCAATAATGTGGAGAGGTCCAAAGGGAAAGAAATATTAGGATACCATAGCCAAGTGTTTGGAAATCAGCTTTCTCTTTGTAGATAGATTTTTGCTCTAGTTAATGGCCTTAGAGGATGTAAGGTTTATTTTTTATTAAGTAAGTTGGAAATTTCCTATGCAGAGATGAATCACTCTTATAGGAAATATCAAAGAACCATTCTCCTTTCCAGGGTCTTATTTTTATGCCCCAAAGTGAATTTCTCATTTTTGCTCCAAGCCTGCTACTCCTCTCATGTTCCTATCTTAGTTTTGACATCACCATCCAGTTAATGACTCAGGATGAAAACCTCAGAGTTGTGGTCAACACCTTCCTCTCTCTCCTTCACCCCCTCCTTAACTCCTTAATACTGTATTCAAATATTTGCAGTTTTGTTGAGCAGTATTTCAAACTGATGCTCCGTGAAACACAGGAGATGTTATTGGAGGCATTATGAGAACAGTAGTCTTTGGCCAATAAGTTTGGGAAACACTACAAGTTATAGCTCTCTTTTAGAGATTATCATATAAAATGCTTTGAGAAGTTCTGCAATTTAGAAACCTGTTTAACTTCATCAGCCACAGAGTTTTCCACACATTAAAAAAACATATAAAAATTATCAGCATTTCTGTTAGTAGTCTGCATAACTGTGGTTCAGTACTAACTATAATCTGGAAAATTCTGTTAGAAATGTACCCCTGCAAAATCTCTCCCAGAGGCATTTATTGCTCATGTTTTTTTGTGATTCTCTTCTTACCTAGACACTTGCACAAGTATCTTAATTATTCTCCCTGCTTTCAGTCTCTACCAACTTAAGTCCATTTTTTTCTTCATTTACAGTTATGTCCTCTCAAAATACAGTTGTGATTAAACTTCTCTTCTACTCAAAAATCTTCTGTGGCTTTCATACTGCCAGCAAAATAAAGTTCTAGCTACTTACTGTTTTAAGGGCTCAGGTCAATGCAGACTGAAAACTGACTCCATTTGCCAAGTTCTGAAAGACAGTTAGGAACAAAATTTCTTACAGCATCTGGAGCCAAAGATAGTTCAATACAATAAACAAGGAGAGAAACAAAGGCCAAGAATTTTCCAATATTGATGACAGACAACAAATCATAGATCCATGAAGTTCAGAAAACACCAACACACTTAGGTGTATCAAATTGAACTTACTGAAAATGAAATACAAAGGGAAAATTTTGAGGGGGGAAAAAGAGACAATAATTAAGATACTGGTGCAAGTGTCTAGTCTGTGTTCCTATGGAGGAACACAGACAAGTATTACAGCAGACTTCTCAACAGAAATCATGAAAGCCAAAGGCAATGGAACAAGATCCAAATTCTATACCCAGTGAAAATATCTTCCAAAAATGCAGGAAAAATAAAGACTCTCTCATACAAACCAAAACTGAGAGAATTCATTTCCAGAAGGCCTACCATGCTAGAAATGTTAAAGGAAGCTCTTAAGGCAGACAGAAGATGATAACAGAAAGAAGCTTTGATCCACACAAGGATATATGGAATGCTTTAAATGGAATAAATAAGGCAAAAGAAATTCATTCTTCTATTGTTTTTAATTACTTTAAAATATAAAGTAAAAATGTCTGGGAAGAAGAAGGGTAAGAGTGTGCAGCTCTCATTTTTGGATAAGGAAGGGAGGTCAAGAATAGATTAGGCAAATAAGTATTAGTTTGGTGCAAAAGTAATTGTAGTTTTGGACCATGAATTTTAAGTCATTATAACTAGGCCAAACACATCTTTATTAGCCAAAATAGGAACCATTACATTCAACACATTTTTCCTAATGAGAAATAAGTTTATTTCTGTAGCACAAAAAACCATCCTTCAGGATTTGGTGAACTCTTGGAAAGCATTTTCTACCTTCTGCTGGTTTTGAAAATGTTTTTCCTGCACAAAGTTGTTGAGGTGCTTGAGGAAGTGGTAGTTGCTTGAGGAGAGATCAGGTGAATATGGCAGATGAGGCAAAACTTCATAGCCCAATTTGTTCAACTTTTGAAGTGTTGGTTGTCTGACATGTGGTCAAGTGTTGTTGTGGAAGAGAATTGGCCCTTTCTGTTGACCAACGTTGGCTGCAGGTGTTGCAGCTTTCAGTGCATCTCATTGATTTGCTGAGCAGACTTCTCAGATGTAATGGTTTTTCCAGGATTCAGAAAGCTGTAGTGGATCAGATTGGCAGCAGACCACCAAATAGTGACCATTACTTTTTTTGATGCAAGTTTGGCTTTAGGAAGAGCTTTGGAGCTTCTTCTCGGTCCAACCACTGAGCTGGTCATCGCTGGTTGTCGTATAAAATCCACTTTTCATCACATGTCACAATCCAATTGAGAAATGGTTTGCTGTTGTTGTGTAGAATAAGAGAAGATGACACTTCAAAACAACAACTTTTTTGATTTTCACTAGCTCTTGAGGCACCCACTTATGGAGCTTTTTCACCTTTCCCATTTGCTTCAAATGCCAAATGACCATAGAATGGTCGAGGTTGAGTTCTTTGGCAATTTCTCGTATAGCTATAAGAAGATTAGCTTTGATGATTGCTCTTAATTGGTTGTTGTCAACATCCGATTGCTGACCACTATGTTCCTCATCTTCAAGGCTCTTGTGTCCTTTGCAAAACTTCTTGAACCATCACCACACTCTATGTTCATTAGTAGTTCCTGGGCCAAATGCATTGTTGATGTTGCGAGTTCTCTTTGCTGCTTTATGACCCACTTTGAACTCGAATAAGAAAATCACTCCAATTTGCATTTTGCCTAACATCATTTCCATAGTCTAAAATAAATATAAAATAAACAGCAAGTAATAAGTCATTAGCAAAAAAATAAAGTAAGAAATGCACATTAAAATGATGTATAACATAACCACATTTATTTAAGACTATATTCCAATATCAAATGGCAAATTTCAGCAATGCAAAAACTGCAATTACTTTTGCACCAACCTCAAAACTTGGGACAGTTGTCAGGTCAAGATTTTGTTTCAAGCAATGCTGGAAGCTGAGGGATCATAAGCATTTGTGTGAAGACTGGTAGGCTGGTTTATAGCCAGAGGACCTTCTCTCAACAAGATTCTCCACTTGTGAACTCCAGCCCTTCTTCCTATCTATGCTTCTTGCCACTTCTCTTCCTTTACCAGCCCATGATTTCAGACATAAGGATACCCTGTTGGAGCCCACATTACTTGCCCTTTTTTGGGTCCTACATGTTACTCACCTGTTTCCCTCCACTTCCATCTCTACCTATTATATTCCCTTCATTTTTCAGCATCCAGGTAAAATGATATTTCCTCTAAGAAGCACTTTGTAGTCCACCAATTAAGGTAGATTTCTCCCACTCCTGTGACCCATGAAAATTTTATTGTACTAGCTATAATAATCTGACTTATATTGAACTTAGCTATTTATGAGGTTTTCTCAAGCTCACTGTAATCTCCACAAAGGTAGCCACCATGATGTAGTCATGTTTGAATCCTCCCTTCCTAAATACTCCCTATACGCCACCTAGCCCAAGTATTAATTACTGATGGTTTGTGACATAGACAGGCTCCGCAAAAGTTTGTTGAATGCAATTAAGACTAAGGACCTTTGGCTTCTTTGATGCCTATGTTCTTTCAGGTAAGGTAAAAAATGAAACTGATTTGGATGCAGTCACAGGGGCTTTTTTTCTCTGGTGTTTGATCTAAGCAGGGTCTGTCCTCCAAGAGTTTTTTAGAACCAGTCAGAGTGTCATGGCCATTCCAGCAAGGGAACAGAAGTGCTAGTCAGGAAACAAGGAAGACTTGTGTAAAGAGTCCTGAACCCCTTCCACATGGTGAGAGACAGGGAAAGCCTGTGGCCAGACCATTCCTTCCAACTGTTCAGCTCCTGGGCTTATAGCCATAGTGGACACAGGGTCCTCATGTTCTCCTTCCCTGGACTGTGTGCTCAGTCATTTGGCAAGACTACGCCTAGCAGGGCTGGCTTATATTCAGCAAATTTCACTCCACCACAGAAAAACAAGGCAAACAAACAAAATAAAAACAAAAAGAACAAGGTCAGGAGATCGAGACCATCCCGGCCAACATGGTGAAACCCGTCTATAGTAAAAATACAAAAAAAAATTTAGCTGGGTGTAGTGGCACATGCCTGCAATCCCAGCTACTCGGGAGGCTGAGGCATGAGATTCGCTTGAACCCAGGAGGCGAAGGTTGCAGTGAGCCAAGATCACACTACTGCACTCCAGCCTGGCGACAGAGTGAGACTCTGCCTCAAAAAAAAAAAAAAAAAAAAGTCAAGATGAAGCACAGTTAACAGAAAAGGGAAACAAGAGTTGAGAGCAGGAGATTTGAGGACAGACAATTGAGCTCAGTCCTTAAGAGTGAATTGGCCTCAGCGTGGCAGAAAGTATACATATTCCAGGAGCATGACTAAAGTTCACAGGCCAATGAACTCAATGTTCAGACTGGTAAGAAAACTAGAGTGGTAGGAGGAGCTGTTCTGTTGTGCAGGAATCAGAGAAAAATAGTAGTCCCTTGGTGTGGAAGTGACAGTGCTGGTGCTAATTGGATAGGAGTTGCTATAGAGTGCTGAGGACCTTGAAAAAACTTCACCCTTCAGCTTGAGCACTGACTGACAGCTGGAAAGGGCTGTGAGTATCCACACCCTTATTAATATGACCCAGCAATGTCACTATCTTCCTAGGATACAGGCACAGGCCATCGTGGCTACAGAAATCTTCAGTTACTTGATGCTGAAGCAGAAAGTAATATATATCTTATTGCTTTGAGAAAATAATCAAATCATTTTCTACCATGGATTGTTCTAGATAGAATTTTAATGTAAGCAGAATCTAAATGTGTCCACCAATCTTACTCCCCTTTTCTCACAAGAATATTGTTCCAATGATCCCTGTTTTAAAGAGGATTTCTAGTGTAATTATGGGAGTATTTGCCCAACTAATCCTTTTCTTTACTTCTTTGGCAAGGTGCTCAGTTATCATTGTTTGAGTTTAGTTCAGCTGTGGAATTTTCTTCTAACTGTACTTGGACCCTGGAGAGGCAGAGCCTTAATGGGGGCTGCCTTCTCCACATCCTGCAAGGATTGCAGAGATCCAATAAGTCAACGTTTACAGAATGCTTGGGGATCTAAAGGGTCTATTTGGGCTATAAATGTGCCAGGAAAAAAATCCTTGGATGTTCATTACTAGTGTGGTGGCTCAATGTACATCCCATTTTCTACCTTGATACCTTATTAAAAAGTTGGAAAATCTCTATCGGGGTGAGAAAGACAACTTTTACTTGTTCGGTGGGTGGTTTTTAAAAGCCTTGGAGATTCATTCCTAACACAGGTCTATTCAAACATGTCAGAGGCATTTACCATTCACCCACACATGCAGGGAAGGCAGGAGACAGAATATAGAAGAAATTAGAGCCTCCAGGGTGAAAGGAGAAATTTTTCTTTTTTGGCTGTAAGGAGGCCCTTCACACACAGCAGCTGTGGGTGATGTTAAAGGAGAGCTATTGCAGCCCATCTCTCTACACCCACTCAGTGGGGAGGAGTAAGATACAGCCCAGGATTTTTCAAACATTCAAGTTTTCACTAAAAATCCTTATTAATTCAAAGCATTCAGCATGACTTATATAGGGCAATCACAGTTACTGATTGTTTAGATCTTGTAGAGAATTCAGGATTTGCCACTCAAAACCAAAAACTATAAAGCAGTTGAATAACTATTCAATTACACAGGAGGTCATCTGTCTCCAAACCCAAGCACCTACTCTGAATTTTGACTCTGAGGACCGATAAGATGTTCAGGTTATGTTAGTAGCATTGATGTCCAGTCATTTGCATTTCCAGCTAACATGGTGGGGTCATGGAAACGGATCCATGAAATCATTGCCTTAGTTTTTTACCTTCTTCACATTGCCGGGGACCCTTTTGGGAGGCATCATCAAACTCTCCATCTACTGACAAGCTGAGGTGATGGCCCAAGGCAGACCCTTCTTCCCAATCAACACTTCACCAGTTTCATTCCAATTTCATTCCAATAAAACCCAACTCTTGACTCCAGACTCTTGATCTCCACTTGTTGCTTTCCTGGAGCTGGTGTTTGAACTCAGCTTTTCTTCCCTCACATTTTCACTTAGCTAACCTTTTTGCCCTGAGAATCACCTGCTACCTGTAAAGGTAAAGGATTCCCTGCTTTAATTCTGGCCCTATAGAAAATGACCTTTGATCTTAGCAGCTGTCTTAATCCATTTGTGTGGCTATGAGACAATACCTGAGGCTGGGTAATTTCTAAAGAAAAGAAGTTGTTTTGGCTTATGGTTCTGCAGCCTGTACAAGAAAAATGGCACCAGTATCTATTTCTGGTGAGGGCTCAGGCTGTTTCCACTCACGGTGGAAGGTGAAGGGGAACTGGCATGTGCAGAGGACACATGGAGAGAGAGGAAGCAAGAGAAGAGATGAGGTGCCAGGCTCTTTTCAACAACCAGCTCTCTCGGGCACTAATAAAGTAAGAATCCATCTCCACCCAGGCAGGGCATTCATCGATTCATGACCCCTCCCATTAGGTCATACCTCCAACATTGGGGATCAAACTTCAACATGACATTTGGAGAGGTAAAAAAACAAAACAAAACAAAAAAACAGATTATAGCAGCCGCCCAGCCTCCAGCCCAATAAAGAAAGAAGGACAGTGACTATGTATGTACCAGAGTAACAGAGATCGACCCTCTCTCTTTTCCCTCCACTGTCTCAGAACCTCTTCTTTTGTAGTGACTAACTATGAAATCAAACAATGAGACTGTAAATACTGAGACCACCCAAACAGGTTGCCTCATCTTAACTTTGTCAGTGAATACCCCCAAGATTCTAGTGTAAGGTGTCATTCAATGCCTTTACGCTGGTATTGTCACGTACCAAAAAGAAAAGATAACCTGGATTTTGTCAAGCTTTCCATACAAATTTACCTTTATGCTGAGGAGAAATTTTGTTCCCAAAGGGTAATTTATTCAAAAAACTGCAAGTGTCTAGGAAGAGGGACTTATAATGAAGATGCCTTTGTAACCATTACTACACCGTGTCCTGACATTTATAATGAAGTCTAGAGCCAGAAATAGATTCTTCAGGAGCATGAGATGTGTCTAAATGCTAGATTAAGTCTATTCTTCTTGAATGTGCCTCTGCCTAGGAGGAGTCTGGGGGCTTCCATGTTGGTGGGATTCAGTGGGCTTCTGGAATTGCCTTTGGTTTACTCATGAGCTCTCTTGATGATGCAGCAGTGGACAAGCTGAGACCACAGACACGTGTGCTTTCTTTCACAGGCAACTCAGAAAAAAAATAATTACCCCAATTTCTAAGCAAGGCAGAATGCTAACCTTTCACTGTTTTATTCTCCCTTGAAATTATATTGATTTTGTCTTTCACTTTGTGATTAAGAGAGAATTTTGTTAGCAGCTGAGATGTGCTGCTCTTATATTTATCATTGTTATTGAATCCACCTTGAAATCCTTGGGTAGATAGTCAGAATGTTTTGGAAAATTAATTAAAAGAAGACTTAAAAGTTTTTACAGCTTGAAGAAACCAAGAAGGGTCACCAGGGGGATCGTAGGCCCTTCCATATTCAGTAGAAAACTCTTTAGACATTTTCAGAGACAGAGAATTGTAAAAAAAAACAAACTTGTGAAGTAGGTGTGAAAAAAAATCATTGTATAATTTTGCTTAAAAATTGTGGTTTTCCAAATGTCTTCTAAAGAAAACATACCACTTTAAGAAATCATTTAGTGTAAACTGGAGACGCTACAGTAGAGAATAATCTTTAGAAACTTGTGTATATATGCAAAATAACTTGAAATAAACTGAGATTTAGAAGCCATAAAGAAAAGTGGATGGGAAGGTGGTTGGATGGTGGCCAGGGAGACATTCTTCTGGTTGAAAAGCAGCCACCACAGGCTTTTGTGCTGACACAGAGAGCGGTCTTCTCACCTATGAGGATATATGGAATAAGATGCCACAGAGATGGAGGGGAGAGACACATCAATTTCACTTCTCTTGGCAGAGAGGAAGCTGTACACAGACAGCAATTACACGGGGTAGAGTGAGGCCATCATTCCTGCAAAGAGAGTGCAAAGATAGAAGGGCAGGATGGTGACTAAGTGCCTCCAGCCAAGCCAGCAATGTAAGCGTAGGCCCAGGGGTTGGACTGGAGAATTCATGTCCAACCTGCAGGGGGCAGCACAGCCGGACCCCCGCCAGTCATCATAACCTACAAATACAAGGTTGGAGTGGCCAGATCTGACATGCCAAGAAAAGCCAGAAAACTGGATTTTGATTTGAAATTTCACCTACTTTAAGAGGTCAGCAACACACCTAAAACTTTTTAAAAATGTTGTTCTGAGGGCATAGAAATTGTCATGAATGCAATAGACGAAGGGAACGGTGTTCTTATCACTGAAGACAGAGGGAAATTGCAAATCAAATGCAAGGCACTAGCAAAGGCTTTTACGGGAAAACTTCTCTAAGGCCTCAGTGTTGAGGTCAAATACTGACAGTCTTGTGTGCATCCCTGAAGTTTCTAACCTCAAGTATGGAAGTTAAAACCAGAGTTACATTAACTAGTGATTAATAACAGTTGAAGCTGAATACAGGATCACTTCTACACAGCAAGAGGTTAAATATTTATACTGTTGTTTGAATCAAAAGTTATACTCTGGTGCAAAATTCATAAATGACTGAATTATATGTTTTGTGTCTGGTCTCTCTCCAATTTGCCTGCTTAACCGTCTGGTCCACATTGTCATAAATCAGGTAGCACTGCTCACCTGGTGGCGGCTGTAGAAATTTTGGACATAACGTCTGGAAGGAAATGAGTCCTTGTAGGGCAGGACCTCTAACTTATACAATGATGGAAATTTTCAGTGGAGTTGGAATTTCTTTCCACACTCTATTGAGTTCGAATATTGCTTCATCTCACAGCAATTGTGCTTGCTGTAGGAAGTTTATTCTTTCTGTCTAACTTCACAACCTATGATAATGTACCCTGTAGAGTTATGTAGGGGGAGGAAACACTTCTATTATATCCTTGTGGTAGATTAGATTATTGTCCAGAAATATTCGCTTCCACCGCACCTTCACCTTTACACTTCCCTGCCCCTGAATTTCGGTCTTAGCCATAGGATTTACTTTAACCAATATAATGTTAATGATGTGATGTGATCAAAGGCTTGAAAAGCACTTGGGTGATTGGGTTTGTTCTCCTAGTTCTACCATCTCTATGAGACTTACCTTCTCTAAGTAACTACTACTTCTTCAGCTCAGAATAACCACTATATGGACTGGAGTCACCCAGACCCACAGTTGAAGCAATGTGCCCCATGGAGTCCAGTGTAAATGATCTGCCCCAACCAACGCACAGATCAAGGAGAGTAAATGAATTTTCTTTTAAGAAAATGAGTTTGGGAGGGCTCTATTATTCAGCATTATTCCAGTGGCAGCTAATTGACACGCTCCTTCTCATAATGATTAGGCTTTTTGCCCTTTAATTGGTCCCTAATCGGCTTGCTTAGCTAGGATTTAAGCATTCCAGTCAATATTGTGGGTAGAAGATATTTTAAAGACTTGGGAGAACTGGACAACATTCAGAGGGTTGAAGTTAAGCAATTGGTCTACTTTCAGACAGGCTACTAGTGACCTACTTGCACCATCAATTCAAGATCAGAAAAGTAGAATCTAGGTATCATCCTCTCCATGATTCCCTACTTCATCTGCCCCACCATCCAACCAGCCATTCACGAATCATTGTGCTGATGCTACTTCTCACATCTATCTCAGTCTTTCCAATGCTCTTCGTTTTTATTGCCAGTCATCCTGGGCTAGTTCATTCACATCTCTTGCTTAGATTAATGCAACAGCCCCCACTCTGTCTCCTCCGATCCATGTTGCATCTTGCTTCTCCCCTTGCCTGCCCCCCAGCTTTAAAACATTTCCACAACTTCCCGTTTCCTTTAAAATAATGTCCAGCTACCCTACCAAGGCTTACATGGTCCTTTGTGATCTGGTCCTTGATTCCCTTGCTAACATCTCTCACCACCTCTCCCCTAACCTACTCCAACTTTTACATGCTGCTCTATCAGCTGCAGCCCTGTCTCTTTGGGCCTTCACACTGTTTCCTAGGCGGGGCGCCCCTCTCACGGCACCCTTCTTTCTTTCTGTCATTGCAATTCTCACACTCACAATGGGTTTATGAAGCGGTCTGAACTCAGAAGAAAGCATGAATGGAGGTTTTTTTCTATTGCCTCCCCAATTAAACTATGCTAAATATCCTTTCCTTCCCCATATTGACAAAGTGGGCAGATCCTATTACTATTTAATAAAATTCTGTTATCAGAAACCCATTTAGATTAAAACTCCAATCTCAAACCTAATTCCAGTTTCCTTCCCCTACGACCCAGCAAGGCTTCAACATGAAGATTTCAGAGTGTGGGAAAGCTGTTGATCTGAACTTAGAATGGAGTGGGTGGAGTGCATTGTCTGACTGTCTGCAAAGACTCTCTCTTCTGGGACTCTGGGTTTTCCAGAGTATTTAGGCTGGGGCTGATGAAAACAAGGAAAGGGATGGGTATGTCTTACTTAAATGGCATTACAGCCAATGCCCTCATGTAGCAGACATCGAAATGCTGATATTTTTGTGGTACATAGTGTGGATCTATGGGAGGCTCCTTTGGGGAAATATCTACCACACATTTCCCTGACAGGGTCCACATCTGGTTATTTCTCTTCTAACTCCCTTGGTCTCTGCCCCATTTCCCTCCCCATCCCCACCACTGAAGTACCTATTGCTTCTGGGGTCTTCTCACCAGTAAGCTGCTCTCCTGGATGGGGGCACCCATAACTTTAGCCGAATATTTAAGCAACTCTACTGAAGTTATTTTTTAAAAGACAACTAGACAGTATTGTTACAAATTGTTTTTGAAGAGTAAATTCTGCTTTTAAAAAGTTTGCTGGTAAACTGGAATAGCAATAATCAAATCATTGATAAGGTAATGGCTCTAGTTGTATTTTTAAATCAATTCTGGAATAATTTGGTCATTCTTATCTATCCCTGCCCACATTTAAAAACTTTTCCTGATGTAAATGAACGGGAATGAGCATTATGGATGGTTTGTTTTGTTATCAAACATTCTTTAAAATACCTAGAGTAGATGAGCCCTAATTCCAGCAGTCTCTGTAATCTCTAAAGCCCTGTGAAAGTAGGACAGGGTGTTCAAGCCACCCTACAATGGGCAGCCACCTAAGTAATAAGATCCCTGGCTGGGGAAATAATGCCTGGCTCTTCGCCTCGCAGATGCTGGCAGATGAAACAAAATACAGCAACTTTCAAGTGTTTTGTTCTGTGCCCAATTAGAATTACGCCAGTACAAATTGCCAGACCGTGAGGCCAGGTGCTTCACATGCAGGTTGAAGATGAGGTTCTACTAAACATGTAAGGAAGACTGTATTCAAATCCATCTATCTGCCAATTGACTCACTTTTCATCTGGCCAGAGGGCACCCACATCCCAGCTACCCACATACTGAAATGGGCCCGTCTAGAGGGGAGAATGTAATAAATTATGCTACATACATATAATGGAATTGAATTGCAGGCATTAAGGAGAATGAGGCATCTCATTTTGTAGTGATATGGATTGTTTTCAAGAAGTCTCATTAAGAAAAATAAATAAGTAATAAATATACACGTTTGCTTCCATTTGCATAATATATCTCTATCAGAAGACCAAGCCAATTGTAACAGTTGTCTTTAGGGAGGTGAACTGGGCTATAGGATAAGAAAAGATTTTACAATATGCTTTTCATTTTCCAATGTTTGAACGTGTGAAATGTATTTCTTATTCAACTAAATATATATATATTCTTCCCCTCTAGAGGGGAGAATGTAATAAATTATGCTACATACATATAATGGAATTGAATTGCAGGCATTAAGGAGAATGAGGCATCTCATTTTGTAGTGATATGGATTGTTTTCAAGAAGTCTCATTAAGAAAAATAAATAAATAAGTAATAAATATACATGTTTGCTTCCATTTGCATAATATATCTCTATCAGAAGACCAAGCCAATTGTAAAACAGTTGTCTTTAGGGAGGTGAACTGGGCTATAGGATAAGAAAAGATTTTACAATATGCTTTTCATTTTCCAATGTTTGAACGTGTGAAATGTATTTCTTATTCAACTAAATATATAAACACATTGTTAATGAAACTGTGCAAAAGCCTGAGCACATCTTGAGTGAACATGTGTGATTGGTCAAGATCAGGGAACTTGCTCATGACTCCAGCACTCAGTTTATGGCTTGGCTAAAATGTCTAGTTGCCCTGAGATTTTTGACCATTATGCTATATCACTTGTTTGTAATCTTACTCAAACATCGTTCAGTTATTCACACAGTGGCCATGGGTTAGTCAGAAAGCATAAGAAACTAATGAAGAAATACAACGAATTAATGAAGAACAGAAAAAATTATATTCATTCTGCAAATGTGCCTCAAGAGAACCTATACCTGGTCTAAAGTTGTATTCATCTCATCAAAATTCTTCACAACACATCGAGAAATACCAAAATGAAACAGAAAGCATCTAAGTGATGATCTTACCCAGTTTGGCTTTTCACTTATTGGGGTCTGGCTGGGCTTCCTCATGCTGCACGGCAGAGTATTCTCAATCATGAAATAAATAAGTCCCTGTTGCTGATTACCCAAGAGGTGCACTGATTTCCCCAGGTGAGAAGTAGCTCCACCACAAATTAACTTTAGCAACTGGGAAAATTTGTTCTATTGATTTTTAATTTGGGGCTTATATCTAAAAATCATTGCTTTTCTATTTTCCAGTCCAGTACGTCCCGGTGCTTACAACGTGTTACTTCTGCCTGGTGTCACAGGATCCTCTAACTTGACTTGTCTCTGCTGCTTGGGAGAATGTCTGTCTCTGTTACTGGTTCTTAGGTGCCCACATGGAAAATTGTTTTGCCATATAAACTATATTTCAGGTTATATTATCTCAAACATACCCTCTATATTTGGTGAAAATCCATCCAGTTATTTGCATATGATGCAAGAGCAGACAATCCAATAAACACAATCTTTATTTGTATAGACATCTACCATCCACCCTACAATGCATTATTTGTGGCAAAGAACTTATAAACAGCAATCCATAATCCTTTCTCTTTTCATTTGGAAACAAAACAATAAAATTATATAAATAAACCCATTTTGTTTAATGCTGCACACATAAATTGTAATATATGTTAAGATGAATTCAGTCTAAAAACAAACATAATGCAGATAATTTCATAGTTTGTTAACACATAATTGCATAATTCCTGTAAAGAAGGAAGTGCAGAAAGTTTCTTATTAAATGAGGAAAAACAGAATATTTTTTAAATTGTAGTAAAAATCACTTTTCAATTATTTACAAAAATATTTTGTATTAATAGCTTAAAATCATTTTTGTGTTATTCTATGGAAAAAAATGACAAAATGGTGTTAAATTCCTAAAGATAATTTTCCTGGGATTATGTTTTTCTTTTAAAAGAATTTGTGAATCGGATACAAAAGTGCACAGTGAAAGGTGCCTCCCAAAAGAAACCAAGAAACATGCCCAGATTCTGAACTTCTGACGACATCCATGGGAGGTGAATGGCCTCCTTTCTGCCCCTTCTGTCCATTGTCTGCCTTTTTCACACCTGCTCACAGCCAACAAAACACTAAGTGTTTTCCAGAGTAGCTCTTTGAAGTTTGTTGCTCTTCTAGGGTTTAATTCATCTCAGACACTTAGCAAAGAGCAAGTATTGTTAAGCATGGGCTATGTGTGAAAATACGCAACACTTGGGCAATAATATGAATAATCATATGAATGACAACAGTCCCTGCTATCACCCTTAAAAACTTCCCCCTCGTTAGGCCGGGTGTGGTGGCTCACGCCTGTAATCCCAGCACTTTGGGAGGCTGAGGTGGGTGGAACACGAGGTCAGGAGATTGAGACCATCCTGGCTAACACGATGAAACCCTGTCTCTACCGAAAATACAAAAAATTAGCCGGGCGTGGCAGCATGCGCCTGTAGTCCCAGCTGCTAGGGAGGCTGAGGCAGGAGAATCACTTGAACCTGGAAGGCGGAGGTTGCAGTGAGCCAAGATCGTGCCACTGCACTCTAGCCTGGAAGACAGAGCAAGACTCCATCTCAAAGAAAACAACAACAACAAAACCTCCCCCTTGTTAAATAGATAAATAAGCTGATATGTTAGTTCACTCACAAGAGGAAAGCAGAATTTGTGGCAAAAATGAGTCAGCTGAACGCTATCTTATGGGAATTAGCAGGGTTCATTAGAAGAGGAGTGACTGTTGTGTGAGCCTCTCCATCCTAACCTGCTTCGAGACCCCTCGGCACAACAGCTGGGGGTCCTTGGGCACACCCAGCTCTAAACACGACTGTGGCCACGCCATCCTGGAACTTCTTCATGGAAAGATGTCACACAAATGCTAAGCAACACTTTGTAGATCTGTAGACTTGAGCTCTTAATGAGGAATCTGTCCTAGCTTCAGCCTCACAACTTCCGTGTGAGTTTTTAGGGGGCGGTGTTGCTCATTTGTTAGAGGGCAGAACCTTCCATCACACCCTCAGGCAAAATGAACTCTGCTGTCATCCTCTCTGGGGCTCACAGAACTCCAAAGAGCTGGAATTCTGGCCCTGTGGGGAAATCTCTGTACGTCCAGTCAGAAGACTTAGTTGCTGCTGTTTCTGGGCGAAGGGGAGGCAGGAGTAAAAAATGGGTTTTGCAACTTTAAAAAAAACACCCAAAAACAAAAAACAAAGTTAAAACCTTCTTTTAGAAATGATTGTTTGCTGTGTTAATTATTTAAATTGTGCTTACAGACACAAAACAAAGGGGAAATGTGACTCATCCTTCGGAATTATTAGTCCAAGTTCTGAACACTTAGAAATGGCCTCATTTACTTCGAGTAATTTTCTCTAAGTGTACGTGAGCCTCAAAACAAAATTCTCTAAATGCAATGTGGGATCCTGGATAAGATCCCGGAACAGAAAAAAAAAATACCTATTTAGGGGAAAAACTAGGGAAATCCAAATAAAGTCTGGAGTTTAGCTAATAGTAAAGCACCAACATACCAGGGTAATGTAAAATGTTCCATTAGGGGAAACTGGGTGAGAGATATGTGGAAACTCTTTGTACTATCTTTGCAACTTTTCTGAAAATATGAAATTGTTCCAAAATTAAAAGCTTATTTAGAAAATAACAGGGTAATTCTGGAAGTTGCTTCTCCCTTCTAAGTGTGCAGTGAGATGCCTCACTCGCTCTCCACAGGGATGGGGGAGGCGTCCTGAGGCATCCACAAGCAAAGCAAAGCGACTTGGGCTGCAGAGCGGAGAAGTTTGTTGATGTGAAGAGCCAGCTAGAATTGCTCAGTGTTGGCATTTTGGAAGATTTGGCTTTCTAGATCCTCTTTCCCCGCAATGACAGGACTTGAGTCTGCATGATTCTGAATGAGGCAGCAAACCTAGGTCAGTTGGGCATGTCTGTGGAAACAGTGCTGGCACACAGAGGGCTATCAATACATGTGTGCTGAAGCCATGAACAGTAAAATACGTGAATTGATTTTTTTTTTTTAGTGACTCCTGGTACACTCTGTTGTTCTCTGTACGTACCTCTCTCAACCTTCTCTACCTTCATATTCACCGTCCTTTCCTCCTTCTTGTGTGCTTTTCCTTTTTGAGAGCTTGGCCAAGTGCATTCATTGGTTCCTAGCGACCCCACCATAAACTGCAAAGGGGCTTCTTTGAGGAGCTTTCATAAGAGAAATGGCTTTGTAGCGAGGCTGGTCAGGCTACACGGCCCTGACATGTCTCTGAGATATGAGATGTTCCCCTCAGTTACCAAAGCCAAACTGTGACAGCCAAGAGACCAAAGCAGACAGCCAAAACCACACAGGGACAAGATGGCCAAGAGCTACAAATTCAGTTGCAGGAAAAGAAAGTATGGGCCACCGAAGGCGGGTGACAACCTGTCTGTCTCTGCCTGGCTGGGAAGAATTCAGCTTTTTCTTCCAAACTGCTCGCACATTGCAGGTGGGGAGCTTGGGATCCAGAAAGGGACTCTGTGTGTTTGTTTTACTCCCCAGGAGAGGTGGTCTGCCTGCAAGGTGTTCCTAACACTGGGCTAGCATAGAATGTGGTGCCCAGGTACACAATAAATAGGAGACTGCTGAGCTCTGTGGAGAAGGCTGGGAAAGGTTCCGCGAAGTCACAATTCTCAGGCCCTACTCTCCAGAAAATGCTTTAGAAAGGGTCCTCTGAGTGGCGGAGGTTGCAGTGAACTGAGATCGCACCATTGCCCTCCAGCCTGGGTGACAGCGAGACTCTGTCTCAAAAAAAAAAAAAAAAAAAAAGAAAGGATCCTGTAAGCATGGGGTAGTAAATTTTGCAAATCACCTCCCATGACCTCCCTAAGCTTCTATAGAATGATGCACTCCTTCTCTAACAAAGGTGGTGCCAGTCACCACTTCCAAGGAGAGCTGCTTCCCCTGCTGTGATGGGAGTAAGGGATTTGTAGTTAATTAGATGAGTTCTGAATCATGACACAGTGATGGAGTGCAAGGTGGGAGGAGGGATAAGGAAGGACCTGGATCTTCCTAATGGAACTGCAGTGGGTGGCGGGGGAGGGGGGGGAGGCGTGGTGTCAAGAAAGGATTATCCAGGAACTGACATCTGAGAAGTTTCTAGAAGGAATTCCCCAGGTGAATAAAAAAACAAGTCAGTGTGAATAGGAGAAGAGATGCCTCAACATTCCTTAGGGGTTAAGGGTTAGCAGTTTCGAGTTCTGAATCCAAGTTGTGCCTCTGTCATTGGAAACTTTAAGACTTCATGACCTCGCTTGACTTCTTGAACATCTCTGTTTTCTCAGGTATAAAACGAGACTCCCTAAGGTGGCTTATCTTCTGTTTCTAGCATGTTATGAATGAAGGTGTTGGATTGGATTGGAAATTAGATAACTTGGGTTTATGTCTGAGCCCTCCTACTAACTTGAGTAAGGCACTTCATTCTTCTGACTTCACTTTTTCCTTCCATTAAAATGACCAGTTGAGTTTGTAATCTAAGAAAGAGCGTTTCTAGGTTGATTTACCTTTGACCTTCATCCAAGGCAGCAAAAAGGTTAATCTTAAAGGAAGGGGTACTTCCATTATTTTTTCCTATTCTTCTTTCTCCCTGATGCCATCTGAAAATGGCTCAACTGACTGGTTTTACAGGTGGATCCTGGGGATACTATTCTATACAGAGGACTAATTCACAAAGTTCCCTAAATGCATTATTCTAAGTATCTAAAGTTCTTTGCTATTTTGGCCCTGCCAGCCTTTTACATCTCATTCCTTCTTCACACCCTACATCCTAGCCACACTGAAGAATCTCCCGGGGTCTGTGTCCTGCCCGGCTTCTGGTGTCCCTGGCTTTCTTGTGCTCTTCTCTCAGGCTGAAACATCCCTTCTCCTATTTACACCTGGCTTGTTTTTTTCTCCCCCTGGGGAATTCCTTCTAGAACCTTCTCACTTGTCAGTTCCTGGATAATCCTTCCTTGATGGCCCCCACCCCTAGTTCCATTAGGAAGATCTAGGTCCCTCCTTATCCTTTCTCCACCTTTCCACTCCATAGCTGTATCATAATATGTACCACAGGACGTTGCAGCTCGCCGACCCTGGGGGCCCCTCTGACTGACTGTCAGTTCCTTCAGCGCAGGCTGTGTGCCTTGGCGCTTATCACAATATCTAGCTCCTCCACCTGGAATGAAAAGGTGAGTGAATACAACTTACAGTCAGCTTGAGAAAGTGAAGCTAAGGCACAGGGAAGCCAGGAGCCAACCTGCCCTAGGTCGAGCAGGGCTCCCACGGTGAGATTCCCCAGACTGAGCTGTAAGAAATCTGCCCATGAACCACATGAGCTCAAGTCCTTCCAGTGCTGTTTTGTTCTTGAAGCAGTGCATTTTGGGGCAGAGTAGAGGAGCAGATGCATCTCTTCCAAACCCCAACAGGACGGGGGCAAGGGCTGGACACATCCCAGAAACGAGAGGCATGTCATGCTCATGCTGTTCCATGTGGTGGCTCCAGAGATGGTGTTGCTGTGTGGCTCATGGTGACATGGCCCTGCCTGTCACTCTGTGGCCCCAAATGGCATGTACCCAATGACAGACGTGTATGTCAAACCACGAAAGACAGCAGCCTGGGGGAGCTTGGGGCAGCTTCAGCAGATCTGAAATAAGATGTCAAAATCGGCCCCTAGAAGCTGGGTATGTTTTTGGCCTCACCATCCTGCTCCTCCAGGAGTCAATTCTCAGCCAGCTCTGTGCCACCACACTGGTGGGCCACTCTGCTAGGCCTGGCAGGTGTGAGAAGGGCCTCAGAGCCTTGTGAAGGATCAGGACTTAAGACACCACATCCTTCAGTACCCTGCCGTCTTATCTGGATCCTCTGGGGGCTGACCTTAAGGGCGAGATGGTGGAAGAGGAACTGTCTACTTTGCAGTTACTCTACCCAAAGCTCCCTACACCTAGGAACCCCCTACACCTACACCTACACTCTGTGGCATCTTCCCTTCATAAGAGTAATTACCAGCACATTGCAGTGGCTGAAATTAACTGAGAACATACGTATCAGGATCTGTGCTAGGCTATTTATAGGATTATCTCATTTAATTATCACTATAATCTTATAGAGTAGGTGCTGTTTTTTTTTTTTTTTTTTGACGGAGTTTTACTCGTTGCCCAGGCTGGAGTGCAGTGGCATGATCTCGCTCTGGGATTACAGGCGTGAGCCACCGTGCCCTGCCGAGTAGGTGCTATTATTG
This sequence comes from Homo sapiens, assembly GCF_000001405.40. NCBI lineage: Eukaryota > Metazoa > Chordata > Mammalia > Primates > Hominidae > Homo > Homo sapiens. Next base: position 5,961,384 of record NC_000006.12, read on the forward strand.
CTTCTATTTTGAAGATGAGATGATCCAGTCTAAATTAGTCCAGTCCCTTGCCCATGTTTCCTCAACTAATGAGTGTTGAGGCAGGGACTCAGACACAAGCTTTAATGTGCTTTTAGCCACACGATACTGCATCATGCAAGACCTGGAGAGACCATGGGAGCAAGGACAAGCGGGATCAAATGGAGCCAAGCGACGCAAGGGTACCTGTGGGAGCCCCATCACAGGGGCCTCGTGTTCCTCCCTTGACCCGGACAATAAGAAACCAAAAGAAACTGGCTGGGACATTTCTCACTTCACTCCCTCAGACTGAGTGTAGGATCAGGCTCACATAAACAGAGTTCTCTTGGCTACTAAGAGGCACTATCTGAACTCAAAGAAGGAGTGTGTAACCATAACAACAATGATACAACCCGATCTCTTCCCCCATAGAAAGAAGAGAGCTTTATGTTAAAGAACTATTTATCTGAAATAACTATTGAACAGGATAGCTTACCATTGACATTCAACTTGGGCAGCAAAAAGCAAGTGGAAAAATTTGGTCGCTGAAATATTTTCCATGACCACCTGCCGTCTGGGTGTAGTATGCAAAGGGGACACCATGGGTCAGACAGTTCAGGCCCCCCACTGAGGAGCCATCAGGGCTGGGGTCAGTAGGTTTGCCATCTGTCAGCATCACTCCATTCTCTAAAACCCTTGGGAGGGTTGCCTTGTCACATCTGTTGAAAGCTATAGTCTCCTTCCTCTTGCACTGCCTCACTTACAATGTTAGTAAGCAAGCAATTTAAGAAGTGAATTATACTAATTTTGCTTATCCTTGAAGTGTGAAATTTTAGAAGATGGTGCCAAATGAATGATCATGTATATTTCTCAGTTCGTTCATGGCTTTTTTTAAAGTTTGTTCATTCTTAAAGACACTTCTATGCTGTGTAAATTTAACTAGAGATGAAAAATGGAAGTTGAAAACAATTGTAAAATTATCTAAAAGTACAGGTTTCAGATGCTGATAACCAGAAAAGTAATTTCTATGGACTTGAAACTATAGATCTTTTTGTCCACATACATTCTAGGCCTATCATTCATTACCTAAATAATATAAAAACCAGCTAGAATATCAGCTGCAACAAATTATCACAAATTTTACTTATGAAACAAGACTAAACAAAGTTGTCATTGAAGGCAGGGTGGGATCTCATTTCATTTGTGAATTTGAGACTAAAGCTAGTGCATGGATTGTAAAAACTGAATGTGGTCAAAGTGATCCCCGAAAATTATTTAATTACACCATAAAGAACAGTGTCTATGATATGACATACGCAACATGTATCAGGCAGCTATTGCTATGACTTTGCTGCATAACGAGTAACCGCCAACTCTCTGTAGAAAACAATTAAGCATAATATCACCCATGTGCCTGTGGGCCTCTGAGTCAGTTGCAGCATCTCTGTTCCTTGTGTTTCATTCCAGGGCCTGGGCTGGAGAGACATTGGCTATCCAGGGTGTATTCTTCCCATGGTCATGGCAGATGCACAAAAGTATGAGCCCAGTTCTGTTAGTGTGCTTTTAGCCTCTTCTTGCATCAACATCTGCTAACAGCCCATTGGCCAAAGTGAGTCACATGACCAAACCCCAAATCAAGGGTCAAGGAAGTACATTTCTCACACCACAAGGCCATGGCTAAATGTGGTTGTCTAGCACTACCAGTAAAGAATAAAGAAATGGGACGAATAATTTAATTTATTGCAATTCAATCCTTAAGATGCAGTGTTTTTAACCACGTAAAAGACATGGTCCTAGTTCACTCAGGGCAAATTAAATCTGCCCATGATACTGTTTCCCTATGAAGACACTCCATTTACTTTATTTTTGAGGGGTCTGTTTCCTTGTTATACGTGCCATCTAATGGTCAGAGGTATCTTTGAGAACTGACCCAGCAGTCCCAACAGTCAACACCCCCATCCAGAGACTCCCCTAAAGGATCCTTCTCTCTACTAGGCGTTGTTTGATGACTTCTTAGGATCCACTTCTCCATGTTGCCCCAATCCTTGCAGACAACCCAAACTCGGTTCCATTCCTGCTCTCCTCCCTCTCCCTTTAGTCCCCTGGTTTTGGGCTGCCCGGGGTGTGACTTCCATTTACCCTTGGCCGTTGGACAGCTCTGTCACGATCCGTATTCCAATACTGCCAAAACCCTGGGACTCAGGCTCATCTAGAGTGAGGCTGGTGAGGATAGTCTAACAGTCAAGGTTCATTCAGGCAAGAAAAGAAAAGGAGAAACCAAGCATTTTAAGCAGAAAGAGATTAAATCCAAGGAAGTACATGATCATTGAGTAGGCCTGGGATTGTCAAGGTCAGGAAATCTGCTTTCACTAAATCTAGAACAGTAGGAATTAGAGGAAGCTGCCACCCAGACTCCAGCTACCCTGGAGTACCGAAGCAAGAGATTCTCAGGAGGGCACCTCAGAGCCAAGGGCAGCTGCTACCAATAATTTCAGCTGCTTGCCTGCAGTATGTTGTTCTTGGGGGATATCCCCCCAAAAGCAATAGCGCATTATGTCATCTGCATGACAGAATTATTTTCTTCCACTTTTCACTGGGAAGCACTAACTCTGAACCACACTGGGAAAAGAAATTGCAGACTTTGCTCCAGCAATGCAGAATACAGTGCAGCAGGGGTCAGGGAGGATGCTGGGTTTACAAAGACCAAGCAGAAAATCCATCACATCCCTTCCCCACATTTAAACTTCCAAACAACCACCACTACCACCCCACACTCTGCCTAATGTGATGCCTGATGCATTGAAATGCACCAGTTCTGTCTACCCAATGGGAGAGGCACACAGTCTCATAAGTCACGCTATACAGACAGAGGGTGACTTTTAAGATATTACCCAGATAATTACATGAATTTTAAGACTTGCTTGGCACCAGTTGATCAATTTTATATTCATTTATCTAAATGAAGACTCATATTCATAGTTGAGGGATTATTTTACTTGAATACTATATCTTTTAAAATATTTGCTGGGGTTATGATGTCAACAGAACCCAATAGAATATCACACTGAAGTTTTTACAAGTCTCTTCTTTATGGAAGAACCTGAAAAGCCTCTTCAGTTCTACCTAAATGAAGAAGAAAAATTCTTCTGGCACTTATTTCCCTCCCATACAGTTTCCTGCCTTTGTTCACATACCATTTTATTCCAAAGAAAGCCATATTGTCTAATCATAAGTCATACTGGAAAACATCAATAAATATAAACAATTATTCTCATCCCACTCTCTTCAGTATAAGAAGAATCTATAAAATGTATACAATATGTTTGTAACATAAATAAGAGAAATATATATGTTTATGTATGTGTATATACATATATATATAGCCTTTAAGTAAATTCAGTGATTCTTATATAGTGGTTCTTATGAAGCTAAGAAATTTGAATTCAAAGGCCTTTGGGGTCCTGGAATTCAACCATTCATCATTTACTCATTTATTCAACAATTACAGATTAGTGCCTGCCCTGTGCCAGGCAAATTTGCTTATGGTTCCTACCCGCAGTGTGCTCCCAGTGTAGCAGAGGAGTTCACAGTTCTGTTACCAAAGGCTTGAAATTTCCAGACTCAAACAACAACTAGCACACAAAAATTCTCCTCCCCTAATGGAGTTGAGGAAACTACCCATGTCACCAAATAATTCTTAGCTTTCCTAAAAGAATCACCAAAGAGCTCTTTCAAACTGGTAATGAGATTGGAATTCCTAAAATTAAAAATACACCCCACTGCATATGGAGAACAACACTACCAGCAGGTGGCTCCGGCAGGGCCGTCTGATGGACGGGTGAGTCAGGTGCTGGCAGTCCAGGGCTGAATGTGCTTGGGTCTCCTCAAAGTTGCCTGGCTTTTTATTTATTTTTATTTTTTATTTTTTTGAGACAGAGTCTCGCTCTGTTGCCCAGGCTGGAGTACAGCGGTGCGATCTCGGCTCACTGCAAGCTCTGCCTCCCGGGTTCACGCCATTGTCCTGCCTCAGCCTCCCAAGTTGCTAGGACTATAGGCACCCGCCACCACGCCTGGCTAATTTTTTTTTTTGGATTTTTAGTAGAGACGGCGTTTCACCATGTTAGCCAGGATGGTCTTGCTCTCCTGACCTCGTGATCCACCCGCCTCGGCCTCCCAAAGTGCTGGGATTACATGCGTGAGCCACCACGCTTGGCCATGACTGGCTTTTAGGGTGATCAGTGGAGTCTCCAGTGGTCAGAAATGCCTGAATTCTGCTGATTTTGTTTTGTCAGCAACCTCTTATTGAATCGACTGTTACTTATTTTTATTAACAACAGGTTAATGCTAATGGTTGTCATAGACTGGGCAACGCAGGTTCTGCATAATATAGATGGGTTCCTGTTTTAAAAGAGGCTACTGTTGTGTCCAACAACAAAGCTGTAAAATCATGGAACCAGACTACTCTTCAGAGAGTGACTAGTGCACTGCCAGCAGCTCGCCAGAGAGAGTCACAGAAGGTTGGCTCTGCAAGACAGCTTATATTTCAGAGCATGAAACCGAGGCCGGGAGGGAACACTTATCCCATGCCCCATACCTGGTTGAAGGCTGAATGAACCCTCAGTTAGTCACGGGCTACCCAGGTGGCCAGTATCCCTGCTGCACTACACAATAAGCAAAGACACAGCCATGGACATAGTGATGACATAGCCATAGCAATGATTAGAGAATCACTTCTTCTTGGGATCTTAAGAAGGCTCTGTCAGTTTCCAGTGGTACCATTTCCTTAATCCATGTTACATACTTTTTGGCCATGATTAACAGTGAGTGAGTGTACACTGTATGGCAATGCTGTGATAGTACCTTACATAGATTATCTCTCATTATGACATCCCTATTATACAGATGAGGAAACTGATGCTACCAGAGGCTAAATAACTTGCCAAACTTTCTAAGTTAATATGTAATAGGAGCCGGGCACAGTGGCTAATGCCTGTAATCCCAGCACTTTGGGAGGCTGAGGCAGGTGGATCACTTGAGGTCAGGAGTTCAAGACCAACCTAGCCAATATGGTGAGACCCCGTCTCTACTAAAAATACAAAAATTAGGCAGGCATGGTGGCATGCGCCTGTAGTCCCGGCTACTTGGGAGGCTGAGGTAGGAGAGTCACTTGAACCTAGGAAGCGGAGGTTGCAGTGAGCTGAGATCGTGCCATTGCACTCCAGCCTGGGCATAGTAGCAAGACTCTGTCTCAAAATATATATATTAGAAACTGTACTGTACAGCAAACCCTGTGACATGTAACAAACTCTCACATGTATCCCTAAACCTAAAAGTTGAAAAAAGAAAAAGAAAACAAGAAAAATAAATTGTACTTGAAAGCAGACCTGTCTAACCCAAACACCAGGCTCTTAACCATTATCTGTATTGTTAAAGACTCTCAGCAACAAATTATAGTCTACTCTGTATATTACTGTCCACCACTTCACACATTTCACCTGTTACCAACAGTCTCTCTGAGCTTTGCTTTTGTATATTTCACAGGTTTTTCCTATAGATAGCATTGTAATATTTCCATTTAACTCTATCCTTTGTAAAATGACATCACTGGTATGTTTCAAATAGATTTTTAGTCAGCGACAGCTAATGAGCAAAGGAGCAATGATTAGAGAATCAGTTCTTCTTAAGATCCCAAGATTTGTTCTAACTATTGTGGGGGTAATTCCAGGCTGCATTTCAAACAGTGTTGGCACAGAAATTCTTAAAGTGTAAGCCTTCTCTCCTTCCCTCTATGCTTTCTGGATTTCTCTAGGCATACTGGGAACCTGAACTCAAAGTCTTAACACAGAAACTTCTAAACTACTCACACCTACAGCCTGTAACTCTGACCCGTTCACAAAGGTTAAGTTTTTTATAAATACTATTTTAAAAAATTTTCTCTGAAAAAAAAAGGGGAATTTATGGAGTTTTAATACTTTAGCATGTGAGAAACTTAAGGGACCAGGGGGTCTTTTTTAGCTATGAGGCAGTAGGAGTTGAAATAATGTAAATTAGAACTATTTTAAGAGGTTGGTCAATCAAGTCAATGGAACCACAAGCTGGACCCTCTCCTTCTTGTGAGCACCAAGACTCCAAGGTCAGGCTGACCAGGAGGCCCCAGGATAGAAAGTTGGAAAGAGCCTGTGGGTGCGGCAGGTTCTGAGGCTCAATTCAAAAGGAGGTGGCCTCAGCCAGGGGAGAAGCACAGAGGCAGTACAGGTAGAAGTGGAAATGGGTAGATTACTGGTCAGAAATCTGCCTCTGTATCTGCCTTCACTTCCTACTGGCTGTGTGACCTTGGGCAAATCACTTAACCTTTCTAAGCTTTAGTCTTCTTATTGGTAAAGTGAGATGTTCTGAGTGGGTGGCTGGCCCACAGCCAAAGCATAATTAATGTGAGTCATTATTACGAGTAAGAAACAAGTCAGTGGAGACACTGAGGCCTGCACACAAAAGTCCAACAAATCACAAGGCAACAGGGAGAATGGGCTCAGTGTAGAGAGGCCAAGAGTCCTGGGCCAGCACCACTGGGAAGAGGAGAAGCCCCCTCTTTCTTCTTCTCCATGCCCTGGCCTTCTGCTATGGTACTTGCATTTTTTCAGGTTCTTACCTTCTTGCTGGGACCTCAGTGGTCTCTTAGCTTCCTGTGACCATCGCCACTCAGATTCATTCTCTTCAGTGCTGCCAGGCAATATTTCCTACAACGCAAACCTGACCAACTTTTCATTCTGCTGAAAACTCTTGGACAAGGGTTTTAGCAAGAGCTAGCCCAGACCCTTTGGCATGGCTCATAAACCTTCTGTAACTTGGCAGGTGCTTTCATTTTTGACTCACCTGTAGGCATGACACACGGGAGAGTCCTGAAAGCCAGAGAAAGGCCATTTTTACATTGGTGGGGGGCTGGGGGAGGGATAGCATTAGGAGAAATACCTAATGTAAATGATGAGTTGATGGGTGCAGCAAACCAACATGGCACATGTATACCTATGTAACAAACCTGCACATTGTGCACATGTACCCTAGAACTTAAAGTATATATAAAAAAAGTTGTCATGCAAAAAAAAAAAAAAAAAAAGGCCAACTTTACTTTGTGGCTCGCCAGCTGATAAGACACCTGCTTGGGGGCAGAGAAACTGCACTTACCTAAGCACTTACTTTTTACCCATTCTCACCCTTCATTGCACATTAGAATCACCTGGGGGTGTTTATAAACTACCCCCAATGCCCAGGCCACACCCCAGACCAATTATGTCAGAGCCTCTGGAGTGGGATGCAGGCATCCCTATTTTTAAGCTCCTCTGGTCATCCCGAGGTGCTGTCAAGCTGTGGATCACAGCTATACATACATTTTTGTCTTTCAAAGGAAAGAGTCTTATCACTTGTTTGAAGTCCGAAGACATCAGCCTCAAATCTGAATATCAACCACCTGCTAGTTATTGCTGACTTTGGGAGAAACATTGATCAATTTCAGAAAAAGGATGTCAGGGAAGTAAAAGTGCATGACCAATTCAGGAAGTGGGAGATCAGCCCAGTCTCCTGCAAAGCCCGTGGTTTTACAGAAACCCTCCTGAATGTCAGCGAGCATAAGCCGTCGTGGCATGGGCAGCTCTCGGTGAGCAGCCTGGCCTTGGTCCAGCTCGGCACAGAAGGACCAGCACAGGGAGGGAGGAAGTG